>NC_000022.11:38255018-38406533 GCF_000001405.40 Homo sapiens
TTTTTTTATTTATTTATTTTTTTGAGACGGAGTCTCACTCTGTCGCCCCAGGCTGGAGGGGCAGTAGCACGATCCTGGCTCACTGCAACCTCCACCTCCCTGGTTCAAGCTATTCTCCTGCCTCAGCCTCCTGAGTAGGTGGGATTATAGGCGCGTGTCACCATGCCCAGCTAATTTTTGTATTTTTAGTAGAGACGGGGTTTCATCATGTTGGTCAGGCTGATCTTGAACTCCTGACCTTGTGATCCGCCCGCCTCAGCCTCCCAGAGTGCTGGGATTACAGGCGTGAGCCACCGCACCCGGCCTCATGGCCGGCTAATTTTTTTTGTATTTTTAGTAGTGACGGGGTTTCACCATATTGGCCAGGCTGGTCTTGAACTCCTGACCTTGTGATCCACCCACCTCAGCCTCCCAGAGTGCTGGGATTACAGGCGTGAGCCACCATGCCTGGCCCCGGCAGTTTCTTATAAAACTAACATGCATTTACTACACAACCCAGTAATCACTGTGGACATTTATTCTACAGGAATGAAAACGTATATTCACACAAAAGCCTGTACACAAATGTTCACGGCAGCCGTATCTGTAATCATCAAAATCTGGGAAGAACCCATGTACTTCAACAGGCAAAAAGTTAAACTCTGGTATATCCAGACCATGGAATAGTACCCAGCAAGAAAAAAGAACAAATTACTGATACACACAAGTGATCTGGATGGATCTCAGGGGTGTTACATTTTGTGAAACCAGCCAATCTCAAAAGGTCACATACTGCATGATCCATTTATGTAACATGCTCAAAATGACAAAGCTATAAAGATGGAGCATGGTGTAGTAGTTGGCAGAGGACAGTGACGATGATGGGTGGGGGTGTGTAATTTTAAAGGGTACCAGGGGAGTTCCTTCCAGGTGATGAAACAGTTTGTATCTTGATAGTGGTAGTGGTTACATGAATCTACATGTGATAAAATTGAAGAGAACTACACATACACCCTACATGAAAATGCAGAAAACTGAATAAGGTCTGTACTTCAGTTAATAGTACTGTTGGGCTGGGCATGGTGGCTCACGCCTGTAATCCCAGCACTTTGGGAGTCCAAGGCGGGTGGATCATCTGAGGTCGGGAGTTTGAGAACAGCTTGACCAACATGAAGAAACCCCGTCTCTACTAAAAATACAAAAATTAGCCCAGGGGACCTTTTTTTTTTTTTGGATTTGGAGTCTCACTCTGTCACCCAGGCCGGAGTGCAGTGGTGTGATCTTCAACTCACTGTAACCTCTGCCTCCCGGGTTCAAGCAATTCTCCTGCCTCAGCCTCCCAAGTAGCTGGGATTACAGGCACCCACCACCATGCCTGCCTAATTTTTGTATTTTTAGTAGAGACAGGTTTTCACCTTATTGGCCAGGCTGGTCTCTTGGACAGGGTGGTATCAAACTCCTGACCTCGTGATCCTCCCACCTCGGCCTCCCAAAGTGCTGGGATTACAGGCGTGAGCCACCATGCCCGGCCAACAATCCTTATTGATTGCTTTTCCACAAGATAACCAATAAATCTCTGATACAAACTGAGTCCCTCCCCATCTTACTACACATTTCATAGAAAAATCTGTTGTTCTGCTGTCTAAAGCTTTTTATTATGGAACATTTCAAACATACAAAACTGGAACAAATAGTGTAATGAATTTTTCCACCTCTCCATCACTGAGCTTTAACGGTTAGCAACACTGCGCAATCTTGTTGCATCTTTCCCTGTCCCCCAGATGTAATGTTAAATACTTCGGTGTGCATCTGTACTTGATAAAGACTTTTTAAACTTTCTATTTTGAAATAATCGTAGGTTCACAGGAAATTGCAAAAATAGAATCTAGGGTCCTGTATGCCCTTCACCCAGCTTCCTCAACGGGTGACGTCTAGTCTAGCTGTAGTACAGTATCAAAGCCTGGAAGTGGACATTAATAGTTTTTTTTTTTTTTTTTTTTTGAGATAGAGTTTCGCTCTTGTTGCCCAGGCTGGAGTGCAATGGCGCGATCTCGACTCACGGCAACCTCCACCTCCAGAATTCAAGTGATTCTCCTGCCTCAGCCTCCCAAGTAGCTGGTATTACTGGCATGCACCAAAACAATATGTCTGTCACTGACTTTAAAAAGAAAAAAAAAATCCTCTCATAGCTGAACTCCTAAAAAGCTACGTAACAGAATTTTCTAGTCCATTAAAAATTTTCCAAAGCATTTTAGTGGGTTTTGGACTCGCTTGTTAAGAATTTTAAAATAAAATACCTTCCATTTCGTTTACAAAAACGTGATTGGCATCAGGGAGGATGGAAATGTACCGGCCAAATTTCAACAAATCCTTTGCATACTCAGTGGACGGGATGGAAAAATGAGTAACCCGATTTAGAAAGAAAGCCAAGGATGCGTCTGCTCCGTGTGCAGCTTCCTGTCCCAGACAGGATCTTTTGCAGGGAAAGCAGCCATTAAAACCCAGTCTCTAAACAAGCCGAACGTGAAGCCAGCCAGACCTTCCAAACTCTCTCTCACTGATCACGAAAGCGCACGTTCCAAAAAATGACCCCGTGTATGAACCCAGGAGGTTTCTGTACCGTCAACAAAGTAAAAATTTTCTTTATTACATCTTTAGCTTGGCCTTTGGTTTCTGTTTTTGGTGTAGGTTTTATTACGTACACACTGAAACAGTAAAGTAATATACGTGTATACTTATTGTAACATACACTTATAATTACACCAATATCCACATATTGGGGGTGCATGTTCAAGAGGTTTTGTTCTGGTTTCTTTTTTACTGATAGGGCTGTGTGATCCAAGGAAGTTTGGAGAGCAGTGCTATAGTGATAGGCAAAGGCCCAAGGCTTCCTAATGGCTGCTGCTATTCCCCTCTCCTCTGCAATCTCTCTGCCTCTCTGTCCTTCCCCAGACAAGGCCCCCTGGCTCAGTTCCAGGCTGCAGATCAGACAGAAAACAAATTCAAGGACCCCCACCTCCCCCACATACAGCCTACCTGCCAGTGAGTGCAGTCTCCACACCTGTCTCTCATTCACACGCCACCCAGCAGGTGGCAAAGAGGCCAGGCCACGCAGTCTGCACTTTGTCCCAGGCTCTGAGACAGGGAACTGAGTTGGAACCTCAGCATTATCACCTAAGCTGGGCCTGAGGCAGGTGACTGGACCTCTCTGACTGTGTTTCTTAGGGAGAAAAGTCCAGGTGCACTGTCCTGTAGCTAAGGCTTTTGGACTAAATGGGTTTAAGAATTTAGAATTTTTCCAAATTTTTTTTTTTTTTTTTTTAGACTAAGTCTCACTCTGTCACCCAGACTGGAGTACAGAGGAACAATCTCGGCTCACTGCAACCTCCGCCTCCCAGGTTCAAGCGATTCTCCTGCCTCAGCCTTCCTAGTAGCTGGGATTACAGGCATAAGCCACATGCCCGGCTAATTTTTGTATTTTTAGTAGAGACAGAGTTTCACCATATTGGCCAGGCTGGTCTCGAACTCCTGACCTCAAGTGATCCACCAACCTCAGCCTCCCAAAGCTCTGGGATTATAGGCATGAGCCACCGTGCCCAGCCGAATTTTTCAGATTTTAGAAAGGATTATGCTGCTAGACACAGTGACACTCCTGGAAGGGTGGGTGCAACACCCCAAAAGCAAACATATAGTACTTTCATAGGAAAACATACTGTTAGTCACCCTAAGGAAGATAGTTTTAAAGGCCATAATTAGTATCACATCAATTCAGGTCAGATTTTTGCAGCAGAAATTAGTCTGCTGCAGACTTAGAAGAACCTTTGGGATTTCTGAGCGTTCTGAATTCTAGAACAGCAGAGAAGGGGATGTGGGCCTGGACCGTCTTCCAGAACTGTAGGGAGGCTGATGAGGAAGCAGACATCCAGTGTCGTTTATTTCTATGTTTATTTTCAACTGTAATGGTATCCCTCCTCCCAACCTGAAATCCACTGAGAATGTGGCAGGAGCTGGCCGTGGGACCCAAAGTCTCACTTCTCCCAAGACTGCCCCACCTCCCTCCTCTTCCAGGAAAGACGTCTTCCGGCTGGCCCCCCATCAGAGACATCCTTTCTCAGATAAGCTACGCAGCTATGTCGTCACTGAACTTGGCCACCTGCCTTGGAGTTTATTTCGGGAGCATCCCACCATCTCACCCAGATTCTATCGTCAGAGTCATTTTAACTCATGTTTGAGGGACACCTTACTGCTGCTATCCCCTCTGCCCATGGATTTTATTATGTGCTGTGTGGTAGGCTGAAGAATAATCCCCCAAAGATGTTGACATCCTAACCCCCAGAGCCTGTGAACATGCTACCTTACATGGCAAAAGGGACTTTGCAGAAGTGACTGAATTAAGGGTCCTGAAATGAGAGATTATCCTGGATAACCTGGGTGGGCCCATGTCATCACAAGGGTCCTCGTAGGAGGAA
The DNA here is from genome assembly GCF_000001405.40 of Homo sapiens. NCBI lineage: Eukaryota > Metazoa > Chordata > Mammalia > Primates > Hominidae > Homo > Homo sapiens. The sequence continues at coordinate 38,259,467 of NC_000022.11, forward strand.
GGCAGGAGGTAGAGAGCGAGAAGAGGGCAGCGTGACAAAGGAAGCAGAGAGAGGAAAGTGGAAGCTGCTACGCTGCTGCCCTTGCAGATGGCGAAAGGCGCCACAAGCCACAGATGGAGGTGGTCTCTAGGAGCTGGAAGAGGCAGGGAAATAATTCTCCCCCAGAGCCTCCAGAAGGAGTATGGCCCTGCCAACACCTCGATTTTAGTCCAGTGAAACACATTCTGGACCTGACCTCCAAAACTGTGAGATAATTAATGTGTGCGCATGCATTTTATTGGTTTTTCTTATTGTAAGTAATCTATAATTTGTGTTTGTTTTGTTTTTGAGAAGGAGTCTCACTCTGTGGCCCAGGCTGGAGTGCAGTGGTGCGATCTCGGCTCACTGCAACCTCTGCCTCCTGGGTTCAAGCAATTCTCCCACCTCAGCCTCCAGAGTAGCTGGGGTTACAGGCACGTGCCACCACGCCTGGCTTTTTTTTTTTTTTTTTTTTGTGAGACGGAGTCTCACTCTGTCACCCAGGCTGGAGTGCAGTGGCGTGATCTTGGCTCACTGCAACCTCCGCCTCCCAGTAACTGGGACTACAGGCGCGTGCCACCACGTCCTGCTAATTTTGTATTCTTAGTAGAGACAGGCTTTCACCATATTGGTCAGGCTGGTCTTGAACTCCTGACCTTGTGTTCCGCCCACCTTGTCCTCCCAAAGTTCTGGGATTACAGGCGTGATCCACCACACCCGGCCAAATGCCTGGCTAATTTTTTATATTTTTGTTAGAGACAGGGTTTCATCATGTTGGCCAGGCTGGTCTCGAACTCCTGACCTCAAGTGATCCACTCACCTCAGCCTCCCAAAGTGCTGGGATTACAGATGTGAGCCACCGCACCCGACCTAATTTGTGTTTTAAGTCACTAAGTTTCTGGTAATTTGTTGCAGCAGCAAGCAGCTTGCAGATGCAAAACAGAGGTTTGAAGGGCTGACGTCATTTGCCCACAATCACCTGACAAATGGTTCTTCCGACTGCCACTGCCGTGCTGTGAAATCCGCAGAACTCTGGAGCCTGACCACCTAGACCTGACCTCCAGCTTTGCCACTGGCTAGCTTTGTGTCTGTGAGCAAGTTACACAACCTCTCCTTGCCTTAGCTTCCTCATCTATAAAATGGGGAAGCAGCCATACCTGCCTCTGAGAGAGAGGGACGGAATAATGAGTGAACACAGAAAGCACTGAGAAGGTCTGGCACCATGTGATGTCAGCTGCCATTGCTCTCCCACTTCCTCCTTCGGCCAGCCTGGGATTTCATGCTCCCAACAGTCTCTGGGACCCAGGTTCTGTTGCTGGGTATTTGCTCTCTTTAAATCTTCTGAGGTCATATTTTCATTCATTAGTTTCAGATCCAAACCCTTTAGAGCTGCAGCCACGAAGTGCTCACTCAGGCGGCTGCCACCCACAGGCCAAGCTAAACTGGCAACCCGTTCACATATATATCCCTGGAATATTCATGCAGCCTGGGAGGGCTTTTGTTCTCTTATTTAATATAGATGGAGAACCTTCCATCTTACCATAACTCGCTGGTTGGGGTCAGACTCGAGCACTGTTCATCTGAACTGACCGCTCTGCTCCCACTCCAGCCGCCTGGGAATGACAACGGGAATGACAGCCGGCCCTCCTGCCTTTGGGGGTTGCCTGGGCTCTCTGAGCTTCTGGGCAGCTGCATTATTGGGGGAGGCTGATCCACATCAGAGCAGGTCAGCAACCCACAGCCTGGCCCTTCTCCAGAGGGGATTAGAGGGAAAGAGCGGCCCCTGGCCAGGCACTTCTGCCTGGTGAGCCTTTTGAAAAGGATCACATGCCCTCACAAGGGGTCAGGGGTCCACAGCTCTCCTTCCGTCTCCCCTTCAATCAACACAAACAAGCGGAGGCCACTCTAGCGGCTCCACATTTCTCCCCCTTCTCCTGGGCCAAGTTCCCAGGAATCTCTCAACCAGGAAAGCAAAATCATCCAATCATGTACATATCTGTCACTTGGGTGGGGGTGCAGAAATAAAGGGGAACAACAAAGAAATCCAAAGTCCCTCAGCGAGGGCTTACTCAATTCAGCCTTGTAATTAGGTTCTTTCCTTTAGTACATACCAGTCCTAATTTTGATGATCTCAGTTTTCTCTCAAATTGAGAACAATGGACCAACGCTCAGCCTCTTTAGCTGGATTGTTGAGCCCCTCTACATGTGACCACCTTTCCAGCCAGCTAAAATCCCACTGGGCACTGAGCGGATAGGTCCCCTGCAGATTCAGCATCCTGCACCCCAACAATGCTACCACCCCATGGGAGCAGGCTGTCTAAACCAGGATCCCTGTACCTGCTCTGTCCCTGTAATCAAGAAGCCTGGCTCCAGCCAGGACACCCTAGATTTCTCATACCAACCTGAATTTCATTCATGCAAACACATTCTGAGTCAGGTAAGCCATCAACCCACCCTGGGTGTATACCCAGCAAAGAGCGCACACGCGCCCCCAAAGACAAGAATGAATTCACCGAAGAGGCTGGACATAACCCAATGCCTGTCCACAGGAGAATGAATAAATAGTGGTATATTTGGTGAACTCCTACGCAGCAGAGAAAAAAACCAAAGGGCCACTACAGGCAACCTGGATGATCTGACAGTGCTGCGGGAAGGCAGCCAGACACCGAGGAGTCCGTTCTGTACACTCTGTGTGTGGGAGGCCCAAACAGGCAGCGGCAGGCACCACGCGAAAGTGCCAAGGTGTGAGTGGTGACTACCGGCGAAGAGCGAGTGGCCAGGAGGGGGCCCCAGGGAGCTTCCTTGGGTGCAGGAACCATTGTGTGGCTTGATCTGGGCAGTTTACACAGAAGCCAGGGAGGTCAGAAGGCAGTGCAGAAGTGGAAACTAAGCTGGCCCTTGAAAGTCAGACAGGACCTGGGCACGTGGAGACTGCTCTGGACGGAAAGGCAGGCAAAGGGAACTATATGAGCAAAGGCACGGAGGTGGGGAGTTAAGAGGGCAGACAGAGGAAGGGGTGACAGGCCAAGTGCGGCTCAAGAAGAGGCCCAGTAAAGAGGGCCTGGGATGCCCAGTGCTGAGTTAAAGTGTATCTTTCTGTCAGTGGGGAAGCCCCCAAAGGTTTCAGAAATCATGACGTGAGCCAATCGGAGCAAGGGTTGAAAATGACAAAGTCAGCCAACAGCAGTGTGTCCAAGGGGCCCAGAGAGGGCTCCATCTCTCCAAGGCCGGGACCGGGGGTCGTATTTACCAAGCAACACCCAAGCCCTCACACTCGGCCCCTTTGTGAGAACCAAGCACATATTTTTTGATTAGTGGTCTGGGGCCTGAGTGAGGCTCCTGTACTTGAGAAGTAGCCAGAACCTTGACCTTCCTACACTGGGCAGGAGGCAAGGTTACAGTCCTTATGTTTTTAATTTATTTTATTTTATTATTTGAGACAGAGTCTCGCTCTGTAGCTCAGGCTGGAGTACAATGGCATGATCTTGGCTCACTGTAAACTCAGCCTCTAGGGTTCACATGATTCTCCTGCCTCAGCCTCTAGAGCAGCTGGGATTACAGGCATGTACCACCATGTCTGGCTAATTTGTGTATTTTTAGTGGAGATGGGGTTTCATCATGTTGGCCAGGCTGGTCTCGAACCCCTCACCTCAAGTGATCCTCCAACATCAGCCTCCCAAACTGCTGGGATTACAGGCGTGAGCCACCGCACCTGGCCCATTTTAATTTCTTGGAAAGGCGTACATTCACCTGCTTCAGCAATCAAAAGGTACATGGGATCTCCAGCAAACAAGCAATCTCCCATGACCAGCACCCCCTCCAGAGGCATCACAATCACCGACTTGCGGTGTCTGCCCAGAGACCCCCTGGGCATAGACAAGCAAAGACACTTTTGATTCTCTTCCCTTTTACACTGATGGCAGCTCCGAGACACACCGCCCAGACCTGCTTCTTCCCTCGGCAATCCACCTTGCTGCTCAATCCGGCACAGTGCGTTGAGCGTCCATCTTATGTATTATGGCCACGCGGTATCCCATGTTTAGACGGGCCATGGTTTGTTCATTGGCCCCTGCGAATGAACATTTAAGCTGCCTCCAATCTTTTGCTATTAAAAATAAGGCAACAATGACGAACCTTGCAAATAAATCATTTTGCACACGTGTTAACCCATCCGTAGAATAAATTCTGGGAGGCAGAGCTGCCGGTGAAAGTATAGAAACATCTGTAATTTTGGAAAATATTGCCAGAGAGGCACAGTACATTTAAATTGTTCATCCAAGAAATGAGCCTCAATGTTGGGGGAAATATAGAAAATATGTAGGTTTCTGTTTGTTTTTTGAGATGCAGTCTCGCTCTGTCTCCCAGGCTGAAGTGCGGTGATGCAATCTCAGCTCACTGCAATCTTTGCCTCCCAAGTTCAAGCGATTCTTCTGCCTCAGCCTCCCGAGTAGCTGGGATTACAGGTGCGTGTCACCACGCTGGGCTAATTTTTGTATTTTTAGTAGAGATGAGGTTTCACCATGTTGGCCAGGCTGGTCTCGACCTCCTGACCTCAAGTTACCTGCCCACCTCGGCCTCCCAAAGTGCTGGGATTACAGGCGTGAGCCACCGCGACCAGCCAATACATAGTTTAAAGTTGTCCAAGTGAAGAAACGGTAGAGAAAGGCTGTTTTCAACAAATGGAGCTCTGGGTAGGGACACGGTGCTGAACCCACACCGGCCCCAACTCACTTGGTGCTCTGGTCCACACGCTTGCATTTCCCAGCTGTCAGTAAAAGGCTAGGCCCACTTGGCCCCTTGACCCTTCTCAGGGCTCTGATGTCCTGGTCCCAGGAAGTGTGAACGGTGACCTGAGCCACTATGACAAGCAGCCATAATTGGTCTCCCCAGGCGCCCATGAAGATGAGCAGGCAGGCCAGGTGGGAGGGGGTGGGGGTGCAGAGCCCAAGAGGGCCAAGTGCTTCCAGTCTAGCCATTCCAGATGAGTGGTGAGCACCTCTTGCCACATACCCTGCACAAGCTGCAGGGGACACCACAGCCATGCAAGACCACTCCCACTCCATGACATTCACTCAGCTGGCTCTGCTCCTGGGTCCATCACAGATCTGTTATGTAACTCCTGTGCCCAACAGCCATCACCACCTAAGCATCAAGCCAGGGAGTTGAGGAGATGGAGGCGGGTCTCTGGAAGGCACACCGAGTATCAAGTCAGGACAGCCAACTCTATGTAGAAGCAGGGCAGGCCTTTCTCCCACTTCCACAAATCTGGCCCAACTACTGCAAACTGGGAAAAGAAGGAAAAGTCTTCTGCCCCCGGCCGAGTAGGAGATACCTCTTAGCAAACCAAAGGAAGCATTTGAGAGAAAGAACCCTTGTCAACCTCATCTCCCAGCCCAAGCCGTGCTCCCACTGACTGAGACGGCCAGGCACTCCAGTAAATCAAATCATACTTACATGCTCTGAGGTTACTGCTATTAAAATTATCTAACCTATGCATCCTGCATCTACCTTTCTTCTCAAAGCAAATATGTACTGTTTTGGAAAATCTAGATTTTCCCACATCCTATTTAAACTCCATTGACAAATCTGTGTATAGATGCACTTTCTCCTCCTGGAGATGAGGCTAGGACCCCACATGCTCTGGGAAGTGGTCACGAGACCTCTGCTCCTTGAGTAACCTGCCTGTCTCATTCCTCTGTGTGTGCTCAAGGTGGTCCCACTCCCTGCAAAGACCTCCTGCACTTCACCTGCCAACCTCCACTGTCCACTGAGCCTCAGCCCAACTACCCTTGTTCCAGAGAGCACCGGCTCCTCAGCTCACCCCCAGGCAGAGCCGACTGCTGCCTCCTGGAACCCCCATGGTTTTAACCTGAAGCTTTATTCACGTGCTTTCCAGGTCTAAGCAGCAATCCAATACACTGGCCTTCCCAGTGTGGCTGCAAGCTCTCCAAGGGCAGGTCTGTGTTGGGGGTAGCTACTCAGCAGGAAGGGCCCAGGACTCAAAACCAGAAAACCTGGGTGCTTCCTCCCCCAGGATCTTAGGCAATTCACCCCTCTGAGCCTCAGTCTCTCCATCTATAAAATAGGTGCAATAATTTCAAGGTTTCAGGGCAGTTAAAAGGATTACATAAAACCATATATTTGAAATATAACTTGCAAAGCCCCACAAATTCCAATGAGAATATTAATATAACTAGCATGTTAATATTAATTAATATCCTCACACATACCCTTCACCAACATCTATCATTGTGCCTCGCAGGCACCCAAACTGACTGCTGATGGGATCCCAGATTCACTGCTCACTCTGCATGAAACAAAAACCACAGGCGCTAGAGGTGGGGACCAGGAGGCTCTGCCAGTAGCTACAGCGGCGCCATGGGGTTAGTTATTTTCTCTCGGAGCTTTTCGGTAAATGGGGAACAGCCCTGCTGAGTGGAGTGGAGGTTCTCAGCCACTTGCCAGCAGGAGAGGCCCCATTCTGGGTGCAGGCAGTCCACAGGGGTTGGAGCAGGAGATAAATAAAGGTACCAAGCTCCACACACGTCCCTTGGAGTAGGGGGGCTGTCTGATCTGAAAATCCCTTTGAGGGTAACAGAGGCAGTAACTTCCGGAGGTCTCACTGCACCCCCTCTGTTGGGGAGGGGGACCATCTGGGACTGCCCATGACCCGCAGGTAAAGGGTCTGTGGATCCTGGCTTCCCAGAGAGGAGGCTGGAGTCTTCAGGAGATCACCAAGCATTTTAAGTTGGAAAAGAAGCAACAGGCACACGTGCTTCCACGTTTCTCCTTCAGTCTTCATGGTCATGTGACCTGCCCTATCTCCAAACCACAACCTTGGGAGCTAAAGGCGTTCAAATCAAGGACTTCACCAGAGCCTGTGAGGTGGGCAGACAGGGTACGAATAGCGCCCCTTGCCTTAGCAGGAGTGAAGCTCAAAGAGGGCAAGTGGCTTGCCCAAGGTCACAGCTGGGTTTCCTGACTCAATCCAGTGCCCTGTTCACCACTGCTGCAACGGTGCCGTCCAGCTAAAAAAAAGGCTGAAGACCTCATCTTTCCTGCAGAGAATTTGAAACAAAGCGCAAGAGCTGTTTTAGAACTTCTCTGATTCTTTTCTATCTATAGCTACCTTTCAAATGCTATGGGTAAATGTTTATAACCCGGTGTTAAGTAAACAATGAGATAACGTGTGTTCATGCCTAGAAAGAACATCTGCCCAAACCTGAACCATGATTACTTCTTGATTTGGAAATTTGGGGTAATTTTTATTCTTATCCCCAATCTTTCCTGTGCTTCAAGTTTACTATCAACAAGTACGGCCGGGTACGGTGGCTCACGCCTGTAATCCCAGCACTTTGGGAGGCCGAGGCGGGTGGATCAAGAGGTCAGAAGATCGAGACCATCCTGGCTAACACGGTGAAATCCTGCCTCTACTAAAAATACAAAAAATTAGCCGGGCGCCGTGGCAGGTGCCTGTACTCCCAGCTACTCGGGAGGCTGAGGCAGGAGAATGGCTTGAACCCGGGAAGCGGAGCTTGCAGTGAGCCGAAATCGCACCACTGCACTGTCTGCCTGGGCGACAGAGCAAAACTCTGTCTCAAAAAAAAAAAAAAAACAAGTACTACTTCTAATCTCAGAGAAGCCTATTGTTTTTCAAAGGTACAAGACTGAGATCAACGTGGCAAACTTTTCACCAAATATTCACTTAGTGGGATGTGACTTTGTAAAACATGGTTGAGCTGGAAGTGACGCAGGTTCAGCACAAAGGCTTTCTGGGTGGATCTTCCCCTGTGGTTTCCACCCCAGAGAAGGAAAAGGAGGTGTCCACCAAGCTTCCTGTCTCCCATCACAGGCCTAAGACCTCCCACACCAGCCAGCCAGACTCAAGGCTGTTTAGTGAGCACCACCGGCTCCTGGAATAACCAATCCTGTTCCAACCACCCCTAATATCTTTTTTTTTTTTTTTTTGAGATGGAGTTTCGCTGTCACCCAGGCTGGAGTGCAATGGCGTAGTCTCAGCTCACTGCAACCTCCGCCTCCCAGGTTCAGGCAATTCTCCTGCCTCAGCCTCCCAAGTAGCTGGGTTTACAGGCACATGCCACCACACCTGGCTGATTTTTGTATTTTTAGTAGAGACGGGGTTTCACCATGTTGGCCAGGCTGGTCTCCAATTCCTGAGCTCAAGTGATCTGCCCACCTCGGCCTCCCAAAGTACTGGGATTACAGGTGTGAGCCACCGCACCTAGCCATATCCGTCATTTTTCAAGAATAATTATAGCTTTATCCTGAGTGGCAGTGCCACAAACCCATCCAACCATTCATTTGTTTATTCAAAAACCACTTCACTACCTACTGTGTACATTTCGCCAGACACTGAGCCATGATTAACCTAAGACTAGAAAAGTCACCAACCAGAAGCCACGCACCATCCTTCTATGCCATACCCAAGCATAGGGCTTCAGCCACCCTAAAACAGCAGCAAATAGACACGTGAACAAATGCTACCTGGGTGTCCGCCTAATTCCAGCTGTCAGCCACCTCTGCATTTAGATTTATCCTCTCCAGTGCTGAGGACAAGCAATTTGGGAATGAGTGCCCGGTAAGAATGCTGGCGGAGGCCGGGCAGAGTGGCTCACACCTGTAATCCCAACACTTTGGGAGGCCAAGGCGGGCAGATCACAAGGTCAGGAGTTCGAGACCAGCTTGGCTAACATGGTGAAACCCCATCTCTACTAAAAATACAAAAATTAGCCAGGCATGATGGTGGGTGCCTGTAATCCCCGCTACTTGGGAGGCTGAGGCACGAGAATCACCCAGGAGGCGGAGGTTGCAGTGAGCCGAGATCCTGCCACTGCACTCCAGCCTGGGCAACAGAGGGAGACCCTGTCTCAAAAAAAAAAAAAAAAGAAAGAATTCTGGCAGACTCAGACGCACTGTTAGTACCTGCACCACATTAGTACCTGCTTTTCCACAGAGACGGAGGCCAAGGGGAGGGAATGATGAGAAAATCTACAACTTGGGTGACCCTTCAATTCTTCTCTCTGTGGCCGCCTCCCACTCTACCTCTTCCCGTTTCTGTCCTCTCTGAGGCTGAGGAGATGGCATTCAGCAAACATTTATTTCAGGTCTACTAAGTGCTGAGACTTAGTATCAAACAACTCCATAGACATGAACTCAGACCTCTGCTTTGCATGTGCTCTTCCTTCTACCTGGAGCCCACTTCTTCCTCCACCTTAATACACATCACCTCACTAGACAAGTGCCCGCCCAGGCGACAATGGCCTAAGGTTCCCTAAGAGCCCCCAGGACAATCATAATTGCTTGTGTGTCTGATTTCTCTCTCCCCAGCTGCACTCGGCTCCTGAGGGCGGCTCCCCGCAAACAGCCTGGCACACAGGCCTGCGATGCCTCCTTCTCAAATAAATGAATGGGCCTGTAAGGTCATAATAAAAGCATGTCCTGTGTGCCAGGTACCGTGCTGAGCTCCATCAGACATTGGTCAGGCCAGCCACGTGACAGCCACACTGTTATTACTCCCATCTTACAGATGAAGGAAAGTGAATCATTTGCCCCCTATTTTTAAACAGCAGGAATTAGAACCTGGTAAGCATCTTGCCCAAGGCCACAGGGCTAATAAGCGCACAGATTTAAATTGCATCTCCCAATTCTCTCTCTGGGTCACCAGAACTGCTCAGCGCATTACCTCCCTCTCTCCCTCCTCCTCCCGTGCTCCTAGTGACCATTTCTTTTTAAGACGGAGTCTTGTTCTATCACCCACCAGACTGGAGTGTAGTGGCACTATCTCAGCTCACTGTAACCTCCGCCTCCCGGATTAAAGCAATTCTCCTGCCTTAGCCTCCCAAGTAGCTGGGATTATAGGTGTGTGCCACCATGCCTGGCAAATTTTTTTTAGTAGAGACTGGGTTTCACTGTGTTGGCCAGGCTGGTCTCAAATTCCTGACCTCAGGCGACCTGCCCACCTCAGCCTCCCAAAGCTTGGATTACAGGCATGAGCCACCACGCCCAGCCTAAGACTCTGTCTTAAAAGAAAAAAAAGTTCCAGCTGACCAGGCATGGTGGTTCACACCTATAATCTCAGCGCTTTAGAAGGCCAAGGTGGAAGGATCTCCTGGGCCCAGGAGGTAGAAGCTGCAGCAAGCTACGATAGCACCACTGCATGCCAAGCTGGGCAACAGAGCGAGACTCCATCTCAAAAAACAAAAAAAGTTCCAGCTCAGAGAAGCCAGTTCCCAGCAGGCAAGGGGTCAGCAGTGGGGCAGACACCGTTACAACAGTGGGCTCCAGAACCTGCCCTGAGTCACACAGGGTCTTCAAGACCAAAAGCTGCTAGAAGACAACAAGAGAAAGGCGGCGGGGTCTAAAAGCGATGCCAGGGGCTGTAGGAAAGCCAACGGAACAAAGGCCTGGTCTTCCAGAAGTTCTCTGCAGGAATGAAGGAGGGATGAGAAGGGATGGTAATACTGCCCCATAACACATGGCTGAGCATGTCACATCCTTCCAGAAACTTTCAAGGCCTCCCTGTTGACATCAGGATCAAGTTCAAACTCCTTGGCGGGGCCTCCAAAGGTCTTCAGGACACAGACCCAACACAGTCACAGGCAGTTCAAGCCTCTGCGTCTGAGAGGTGAGGCAGCTCAGACCTCCACATCTGCCCGGAGTTCCCTCTACCTGGAACGCCCTCCTTCTCCTTCATAGGTGGAGCACCCCTCGTCCTTCAGGGCCAAGACGACTTCCAGCACCCCAGGGTTATGGGGGAGGAGCATGGGCTCTGAGGTCAGACCTACTGGTTCAAAACTCAGCTGTTCCACTCTCTGCTGCCTCCCCTACAAAATGCAGACAGTGACAGCCCCCACCACACTGGGTGGTAGGAAAATTAAATACAGTAATTCATGAAAGCGCTTTGAACTGTGCCTGGCACACAGTAAGTGCTCAATAAACGGACTGTTGTTCCTATTGTCCTCTGGGCCCCTTTAGGGCCCTCTGTTTCCACCACAAGTAGGGCACTGTCTTGCACATATTTGTTACACATTGGGCTCCCTCTGCCAACCACCTTTTAGAGGGCTGCCCCAGCACAGTGCAGGGCAGCATGGTCTTCGGTGAGTGCTTACTACCCGGGGCTGCAGGGCCTGGTGCAGACCCCACACAGAGCTCTCCCAGGGGCCCAGCTATTGGCCTTCCAGAACTCCCACACCAGATCCCCAGTCTAAAGGCCCAGAGCTGTGACTCGTTTTCAAAACAATAAAAAGCTGTACCCTGCCTTGCCGGGGCTGTTTCCACTCCAGGGAATTTACAGAGAGAAAATGAGCACAGCAGGGACTGGAAATAGCTCTGAGCCCTTCTCAGGGTGAGGGACTGGGCAGGCCAGCCAGAGACCAGGAGCAAAACCTCTAAGACAGAGAGGGAGCAAACAGCCTCCGGACAGAAGCCCCTGCTCACAGAACTCGGCCAATAGGAAAGAACTAGGACAAGTGGCTCATTCACCCTTCTGCCTCGAAGCTCTTCTTTCTACTTGGTTGGAGAAATTCAGAAGGGGCTCTTTGAATAACCCACCACCACCGTGGGTGCAACAAATAAGACATCCAGAATCCCAACGACTGCACAAATGCTTTGGGGGAATTCACAGCGCCTTCTCCACCCACATTAGCTATTGGAGCCTCGTATCCAGATTGGGGTCACTAAATCAGTGTCCATCTTCCCAGCACTGGGAGCCCCTAGAAGGCAGGCACCAGGTCCCATTGATCATCAGACCGCTATGCCCCAGCATAGTGCCTGGCACATAGTAGATGCTCAGTAAGTTGCAAGACAAGATCTGGCAGCAAGAGAGAGGTCCTGGTTAAAGGATGATTCCATCCAGGCTTGCCACGTATCGTGGAGAAGAACGTCATGAATTCCCTCTGGGCCTCAGTTTACCGCATCTGCAAATAGGGACAACTGTTCCTTACTCACACAGCTGCTGTGCAAATTACACAGGAAAATATATGTGGAAAGCAGAAAAGCCTCAGATGAACGTCAGTCATCCTTCAGGCTTCAGCTCAACCGTCTCCTTATGAGGGAGTCTTTCCTGCGGCCACGATCCCCCTCCCCGGGAACTGAACCTGCCTCTGTACTCCTTCTACTCCTTTGTTTGGTATTTTTCACATCATCGTGATCACCTGTTTCCAAATCTGATTCCCCCATGCTTGAGAGCTCCTTGATGGCTTGGGCATCAAATGTTTCTGTCCAGGTGGGCACACATACCTGGCTGCTGGGGCTCTCCCACCCCAGCGTCCCAGGTCCCAACTCTGATACGCACAGCACCCTAGGCAAGGTTCAGAGGTGCAGAGCCTAGGGGTTCTACCAAGGAAGCTAAATAGGTAGATGGAAAGGGACACTGTAGGCATAACCTGTCAACGAAGTCACACCTCTGAGACCTGCGCTGCCTCTGCAGGTGCAGGTGAGCTTGTTTGCCTGGCTGACTCTGCAGCGCAGGGCCTCCAGGGCACAGATTGCTGCTTCTTTCCTTACAAAAGCACCAGCAGTCAGATAAATAATACATGGCCTTCACCTCACCACAGGTATCAGGCATGCAAATACCTGCTTTGCCCCAAAATGCCCTGGAAAGGAGGGAGGAGTAAAACGTCTGGCCTTATACAACACCTCCAGAGGGGATATGTATTGGGAATCCATGCCCAACCCCCAGCATAACTGCCTTGCCTTGGCCTGGAGCCACCCAGCACTGGAGGTAAGTGGATCCAAGCGAGGTACCAAGGGTGTGCCCAGGAGGAAATGTACAATTCACGGGAAGGATACAGACACCCAAAACCAGTCTCCACGGTCCCTTTGGGGGCAAACATCTTTCGAGCCCCAGGTCCCAGTCGATCCCCTTCCAAACCTGCGGACCTGTGTGGCGGGCGTGTACACCCTCCACTCACGACGCAGCCCCGAAAGCCCCCCGCCGACCACCCTCCCAGGTCACTGCCACCCGCACAGGGCACGGACGCCTCCCCCACTCACTCGGCCGTGCCAGTCGCCAGCACACCCACCCGGGAGCACACAATCCCTCTTGCAAAGCGCCTTGGTCCATCCGCCTCCCTCTCCCGGGGCCGCCCCCCGGACAGGTCCGATTACACTCCAGGAGCTGCCCCCGCCACGTTGGCGTGGAAAGGGAGCGGGCACACCCACGGGCGACCTCGCGGGGCGGAGAGGAGGCACGGGTGGGGAGACGGATGCCCCCTCCCTCCGCGGCCGCACCGGCCTCCGTAGTGCCCTCCCCGCCCGGGAGCCGGCGGCCGAAGCCGGGCGTCCCTCGCGCGGGCCTCTCCGAAACAAGCAGCCCCCCGCGCTCGGGAGTCGCAGCTCCCCCTTGGGGCTCCCGGGCGAGGCCGGCCAGGCGGGATACCTCAGGAGCCCATGGCGGTGGCGGCGTCTGCGGACGATGCGCGGCAGCCGGACTCTGCGGGCGGGGCGGGCGGCGCCGCAGCCCCGGAGTCTCCGCCGCCGCCGGCGCGTCCCGGGCCCAGTGGAGTGCAGCCGCGGCGCGCATGCGCTCTGGGCTCGCCGCCGGGGAGGGCGGGGCGGCGGACGCGGCTGAGATCACTGCCTGGGCCTTAAAGGGGCCGCGCCCCGAACCCCAGCCCGCCGCCCCGAACCCCAGCCCGCCGCCCCGCGGGTTGGGGCGCGACCCGGGTTCTCTTGCCACTCACAAAACCAGCTACGACCGGCCCCCAACCGCGAGAGCTTTCTGGGCTGCGATCTCTGCCCCTGACCCTCGCTGGTGCTTCACTTCTTTTAACCCTAATTTCCTCCATTTGAGCCTGTTTTGAAGATGAAACGAAATACAATGGCTATTTGTTGAGTGAAGGATGCGTGTGGAATTGTGGAATGAACGTGGACCGAGTGTTGTGTGCAATTAGGCCAGATGAAATGGCAAAGCACTGAAAGAGGCCTTTTTTTCCCACTCCGCTTAGCAGCGATTCTTTCTTGCCCCGTCTGGCTCTAGGCTGCCGAACTAGCAAAAGTCTTCAGATAGGGTTCAAGCCGCCTAGTCCATTTCTGTTTGCCGGTCCAGACATCACCTAGGTTAACTGAACAAGATAAAATGCAATTAAGTTCTGGCATTGATGTGCTCAAGATCCCCAAATGTATTTATGTCTCCAGACTCCTCGCCTGAACTGTCTACCCAACACCTCTTCCTTGGAGCTCCAGCAGGCATCTCAAAGTCAGCGTGTCTGAGCTGAGCCAACCCCACTTCCACACACAAAAACCTGCTCCCTCTCAGCTTTGCCTCCATCAGCTGTTGACAATTCCATCCTTCCAGTCCCCAGGCCAGAACTCGGAGTCAGCTGTGAATGAATGCCCCCCTTCTGCCCGCTACCCAATAAGGCAGGCAGGAGATCCTGTTGGCTCTACCTGCAAAATAGATCTAGACTCAGATGTCTGCCACTCCTCCTCCAGTGCTACCACCCTGGTCCAGTATTTGCACAGGATTATTGCAGAGTTCTGCTAACCCCTCTCCCTTGTTCCAGCCTTGCCCTCTGATCCATTCTATCAATTCAGGGGTGAGGGAGATCCTTTTTTTTTTTTCTCTTTTTTCTTTTTGAGACAAAGTCTCGCTCTTTGTCTCAAAGTTGCCCAGGCTGGAGTGCAGTGGCGCGATCTCGGCTCACTGCAAGCTCCGCCTCCCGGGTTCACGCCATTCTCCTGCCTCAGCCTCCCGAGTAGCTGGGACTACAGGCGCCCGCCACCATGCCCAGCTAATTTTTTGTATTTTTAGTAGAGACGGGGTTTCACCGCGTTAGCCAGGATGGTCTTGATCTCCTGACCTTGTGATCCGCCTGCCTCGGCCTCCCAAAGTGCTGGGATTACAGGCGTGAGCCACCACGCCCAGCCAAGATTCTTTTAAAATCTGCCGGGCACGGTGGCTCACGCCTGTAATCCCAGCACTTTGTGAGGTCGGGTGGCTCATTTAAGGCCAGGAGTTACAGACCAGCCTGGCCAATATGGTGAAACCTTGTCTCTGCTAAAAATACAAAAATTAGCTGGGTGTGGTGGTACATGCCTGTAGTCCCAGCTACTCTGGAGGCATGAGAATTGCTTGAACCCGGGAGGCGGAGGTTGGGTTGTGGTGAGCCAAGATCGTGCCAATGCACACCAACCTGGGTGACAAAATGAGAATCTGTCTCAAAAAATAAAATAAAATCGAAGTCAAAACATGGTACTTTTTTGCTCAAAACCCTCCATTGGCTCACTGTTTCGCTCTAAGTAAAAGCCTTACAAGTCCTTACAAACACTTGATCTGACATTCTACTCTCCTGGGGATTCCTGATCTCATTCATCTCTTACCCTTTCCCTCCACACTGATCCCTTGCTGTTCCTAGAACAAGCTGAGCACACTCAGCCCCGAGCCCCCTGCACTAGCTGTTCCCTCTGCTGCGATCGCTGTTTCCCCAGATACCTGAATGGCTCCTCCATCACCTTCTTCAAGGGTTTGCTCGAATGTCCTCCACTTAGTGAGGCCTGCTGTGAGCACCCCTAGTAAAACTACCAGACCCCTCACATGCACTCTGTATTTCCCTTTACCGTGCCCTACTTTCCCTGTCACTTCATTTCTTTCTTTCTTTCTTTTTTTTTTTGAAGCGGAGTCTCGCTCTGTCACCCAGGCTGGAGTGCAATGGTGCTATCTCGGCTCACTGCAAGCTCCGCCTCCCGGGTTCATGCCATTCTCCTGCCTCAGCCTCAGAGTAGCTGGGACTACAGGCGCCCACCACCATGCCTGGCTAATTTTTTGTATTTTTAGTAGAGACGGGGTTTCACCGCGTTAGCCAGGATGGTCTCGATCTCCTGACTTCGTGATCCGCCTGCCTCAGCCTCCCAAAGTGCTGGGATTACAGGCGTGAGCCACCCTGTCACTTCATTTCTATCATATTATATAGTTTGCCTGTTTCCCTGTGTGTCTTCTTCTAGTAGAACACAAAATTTTTCGGTTTTGTTTTTTTGTTTTTGAGACAGTCTCTGTCACCCAGGCTGGAGTGCAGTGGCACAATCTCAGGTCACTGCAACATCCGCCACTCAGGCTCAAGTGATCCTCCCACCTCAGCCTCCTGGTTAGCTGGGATTATAGGCATGTGCCACCATACCAGGCTAATTTTTGTATTTTTTTTTTTTTTTTTTTTTTTTTGTAGAGATGGGGTTTCGCTATGTTGCCAGGGCTGGCCTCAAACTCCTGGGCTCAAAGCAATTGCCCGTCTAGACCACTCAAAGTGCTGAGATTACGGGTGTGAGCCACTGTGTGCCTGGCCAATAAATTCTGAAGAGAAAGATTTTCATCCTTTTTGGCTTTTTTGTTGTTGTTGTTGTTTGAGATGGAGTCTCACTCTGTCACCCAAGCTGGAATGCAGTGGTGCAATTTTGGCTCACTGCAGCCTCAACCTCCCAGGTTCAAGCGATACTCTTGCCTGTGCCTCCCAAGTATCCTTTTTGTTTTCTGATGTAATCCCAGTACTTAGTACAGGGTCTGGCATAGAGAACATGCCCCCGCAAAAGTAGGTATAACATGACCAGAGATCTGGTAATAGCAAAATCCTATAGAACGATTCCTCCCCAGCCCCAGGTAGGACATGCCTGGGTCTGTCCTAACAAGAGTAAGGCTTATCAATTGCATTGTAACTTGTTTATGACTTCCCAGCTCTCCCTCCCTACACACTAACCCCTTCAGGAGGAAGTCTTTGTCCCAATTACCCACCATATCTGCAATGTGTAGTACAAGACACTTACAGACCAGACACAACCTGACTTACACTTCCCCTCCAGGGCTTTCAGTTCAGGGTCTTGGTTTCTGCTTAGGGGCACTCTTGGGTCTCAACTTACAGAGGCCCCGGGCTGGCAGGGGACAGAGGCAGGTGGTGGGTATTTTTAGGCTTGGTTGCCCGGAAGGGGCTCAAAGACAGAAAGTCACCTGGTCTGAGTGATATGGCAGGTCAGCAGGTGGTATTGGGGGCCCTAGTTGGTGCTCCCTGTGGGAGGAAAAAAGCCCTCTCAAGACCTTTACTCAGGTTTTCCAAAATGAAGATAAACACCTACCTTGCTATCTTCCCTCTCACCCCTCCTCCATGCAACTACCCATCCTTTCTTTCTTGGGTTTTGCTCTCTCACCCAGGCTGGGGTGCAATGGTTTGATCATAGTTCATTGCAGCCTCAAACTCCTGGGCTCAAGCAATCCTCCACCTCTGCCTCCCAAGTAGCTAGGACTACATGGGCATACCATCACGCTCAGCTAATTTTCTATTTATTTATTTATTTATTGACAGAGTCTTGCTCTGTTGCCCAGGCTGGAGTGCAGTGGCGCGATCTCGACTCCCTGCAACCTCCCAGGTTCAAGCGATTCTCCTGCCTCAGCCGCCCGAGTAGATGGGATTATAGGCACGCGCCACTACGACCAGCTAATTTTTTTTTGTATTTTTTTAATGGAGACAGAGTTTCACCATGTTGCCCAGGGTGTTCTCAAACTCCTGAGCTCCGGCAATCCGCCCACCTTGGCCTCCCAAAGTGCTAGGATTACAGGCGTGAGCCACTGCACCTGGCCTAATTTTCAATGTTTAATGGTTTTATAGAGACTGGGTCTTGAACTCCTGGCCTCAAGCAATCTTCCTGCCTCTGCCTTCCAAAGTGTTGGGATTACAGATGTGATCAGCATGCCTGGCCTATTCTTTCTAACAAGGCTCAAAGATTCCACCTAAATGTGTCCGCTTTCCCCTCCACTGCCCTGGTTCAGTCTGACTTAACTTCTGGACAATTATAATGGTTTCCCAGGCCCCCAGCCTCACCTTTCCCCCTGCCCACAGGCTAATGAAGAAAGAATGCTTTTCTCAATGACCAGCTCCACCCCTTTGAACTCAACTCAGCAAACAGCTACTCCTATTCTCCCTTCAAGGACCAAATCAGATATCACCTTTTGGTTCCTTCTTTTTTTTTTTGAGACAGAGTCTCGCTCTGTCGCCCAGGCTGGAGTGCAGTGGCGTGATCTCGGCTTACTGAGAGCTCCACCTCCCGGGTTCATGCCATTCTCCTGCCTCAGCCTCTGGAGTAGCTGAGACTACAGGCGCCGGTCACCGTGCCCGCCTAATTTTTTGTATTTTTAGTAGACACGGGGTTTCACCGTGGTCTCGATCTCTGACCTCGTGATCTGCCCGCCTCAGCCTCCCAAAGTGTTGGGATTACAGGCGTGAGCCACCGCTCCTGGCCTATATTTATTTATTTATTTATTTGAAACGGAGTCTTACTCTGTCGCCAGGCTGGAGTGCAGTGGCACGATCTCTGCTCACTGCAACCTCCACCTCCACCTCCCGGATTCAAGCAATTCTCCTGCCTCAGCCTCCCGAGTAGCTGGGACTACAGGCACGCACCACAACACCCAGCTAATTTTTGTATTTTTAGTAGAGACAGGGTTTCACCATGTTGGTCAGGCTGGTCTCGAATTCCTGACCTCAAGTGATCTACCCGCCTCGGCCTCCCAAAGTGTTGGGATTACAGGCATGAGCCACCACACCCAGCCAAAGCCAATCTTTCTTCTAAGCATTTTTTTACAGCGTTCAGAAAGGCTATCATATAAGTTTATAACTGCCTTTTTCACTCAATATGGAAATGATTAGGAATGTGTCAAGAGACTACATTAATATCTATACAATATGCCATTCGTGGCATGGATCTATATAATTTACTTAACCATTCTTCAATGACTTTCAGGTTATTTCCAATTTTCTGTTAGGGAGAAACTAATTAATACAGAATTTGGAGGATAGAGAGGGAGGTGGGGATCAAGAAGGAACCATGCCAGGCACGGTGGCTCACGCTTGTAATCCCAGCACTTTGGGAGGCTGAGGCGGGCGGATCACGAGGTCAGGAGATCGAGACCGTCCTGGCTAACACGGTGAAACCCCGTCTCTACTAAAAATACAAAAAAAAAAAAAAAAAATAGCCGGGCGTGGTGGCAGGCGCCTGTAGTCCCAGCTACTCGGGAGGCTGAGGCAGGAGAATGGCGTAAACCCGGGAGGCGGAGCTTGCAGTGAGCTGAGATCGCGCCACTGCACTCCAGCCTGGGAGACAGAGCGAGACTCCGTCTCAAAAAATAAATAAATAAATAAAAAGTAAAATAAAATAAAATAACGAACTAAAAAAGGGGAATATATGGGTTCACTTAAGGAGTTCAAAGCAGAGCTGGATTTGAGGCCTCACATAGTGTCATTGGGATGCTATTTCTCTTCGTCTCTTGCTCTGTGTGTGTGTGTGTGTGTGTGTGTGTGTGTGTGTGTGTGTGTGTGTGTGTGTTTTGGCCCCATTCCCATGTGGCCTTCCCCCCCCCCCAGTGGCAGAGAGAGCACCTCTTTGCCAAGAATTCCAAGATATGTCCCACAGTCACCTCTGATTGGCCCAGCCTGAGTCACGGTCCCATCTCTGAGCCAATCATTGTAGCCAGGAAATGCAGGGCATCAATTGGCCAGGCCTGGATCACAGGCCCACCCTGGAGCCAGTGGGTGGAGTCAGCCCCTTCAGAACCAAATGTACTGAAAAGGAGGCATGAGTACCTAAAGAAAAATGGGGTGCCATGACCAGAAAAACTGGGAAAGAGTGCTGGGGAAAAAAACTCAGATGTTCTGCCTCTCTGGGATTTTAAGTGGCTCTCCAAGGGTCATCCAGAAGGATGATCAGGGACAGGGCTGAGATGTGACCTCACCCAGAGCAGAGATGGAGGGACCTAGGACAGAGCCATCAGCTCTTTGGGTGGCTCTTTGGAGGCCATTAGCCTGTGCAGTCGTCAACTGCCTCCACCACTGACAGGCTGTGGGATTCTGGGCAAGTCTTGTAAGCCTCAGTAAGCCCCAATTTCTTTTCTTTTCTTTCTTTTTTTTTTTTTTGAGACAGAGTTTCAGTCTTTTCGCCCAGGCTGGAGTGCAGTGGCACGATCTTAGCTCACTGCAACCTCCGCCTTTTGGTTTCAAGCGATTCTCCTACCTCAGCCTCCCAAGTAGCTGGGATTACAGGCGCCCACCACCACTCCCGGTTAATTTTTGTATTTTTAGTAGAGACGGGTTTCACCATGTTGGCCAGGATGGTCTCGAACTCCTGACCTCGTGATCCGCCCGCCTTGGCCTCCCAAAGTGCTAGGATTACAGGCGTGAGCTACCGCACCCGGCCCTCCAATGTCTTCATCTGTAAAATGGGGGTATGAACAGGACCATCCTGTCAGAGCTGCTGTGGGGATCAAACAAAATAACATAAGTAAGGCTGGTAGCACAGGGCCTAGCACATCCTAAGCACTCAATAAGTGTTTCCTCTAATATCTACAATAATAAGCAGAGTAAGAAGGTCTTTTTTGAAATGGCTGTTTATTTAATTTTTTTTGAGATGGACTCTCACTCTGTTGCCCAGGCTGGAGTGCAATGGCATGATCTCAGGTCACTGCAACCTCTGCCTCCCTTCCTCAACTGATTCTCCTGCCTCAGCCTCATGAGTAGCTGGGATTACAGGTACGAGCCACCACACCAGGCTAATCTTTGTATTTTTAGTAGAGATGGGGTTTCACCATGTTGGCCAGGTTGGTCTCAAACTCCTTACTTCGTGATCTGCCCACCTCGGCCTCTCAAAGTGCTGGGATTACAGCTTTGAGCCACCGCTCCCAGCCGAAATCTGAAATTGCTGTTTACAAGTAAAAATGTAAACAGGCCCAATAGGTCAGTTCTGTTTTTGTTGTTGTTTTTTGTTTTTTTTGAAACGGGGTCTCTCTCTGTCTCTCTCTCTGTCGCCCAGGCTGGAGTTCAGTGGCATGATCATGGCTTACTGAAACCTTGAACTCGTGGGCGCAAACAATCCTCCTGCCTTGGCCTCCTAAGTAGCTGAGACTACAGGTACATACCACCAGGCCCAGCTAATTTTTTTTCTTTTTTTTTTTTTTTGTAGAGACAGGGTCTCGCTATGTTGTCTAGGCTGGTTTCAAACTCCTGGCCTCAAGTGAACCTCCTGCTTTGGCCTCTCAAAGTGCTAAGATTAGAGGCATGAGCCACTGTGTCTGGCCAGTAGGCCAGTTTTTAAGCAAATCTGCCCCTCACACTGTCACCAATGATTGTATTTCCAGCAGCCACGTTGTGTCTAGTATCACAGCCTTGATGCTGCTGTTCCCATCACCTAAAACACACCCTTTCTCACTGCTGTCTCCATCCCTTTCCTTCTCCTAGTTAATTCCTACCCTTCCTTCAGGTCCCTGATAAAACTTTCATTGTCCCTGTCATCAAGTGGGAAAAAAAATACATCATGCAGGGTAATGCATACTGGATGCCTCATTAATGCAATTTTTCTTTTAAGACGGAGTCTCGGCGGGGCGTGGTGGCTCACACCTGTAATCCCAGGACTTTGGGAGGCCGAGGCAGGCAGATCACAAGGTCAAGAGATCAAGACCATCCTGACCAACATGGTAAAACTCGTCTCTACTAAAAATACAAAAATTAGCTGGGCATGGTGGCAGGCACCTGTAATCCCAGCTACCCGGGAGGCTGAGGCAGGAGAATTTCTTGAACCTGGGAGGCGGAGGTTGCAGTGAACCGAGATCGCGCCATTGCACTCCAGCCTGGACAACAGAGTGAGACTCCATCTTTTTTTTTTTTTTTTTTGAGACAGAGTCTCACTCTGTTGTCCAGGCTGGAGTGCAATGGCACGATCTCGGTTCACTGCAACCTCCGCCTCCCAGGTTCAAGAAATTCTCCCGCCTCTGCCTCCTGGGTAGCTGGGACTACAGGTGTGCACCACCACGCCTGGCTAAGTTTTTTTTTTTTTTTTTTTTTGAGATGAAGTCTCGCTCTGTCGCCCAGGCTGGAGTGCAGTGGTGGGATCTCAGCTCACTGCAACCTCCGCCTCCCGGGTTCAAGCAATTTTCCTGCCTCAGCCTCCTGAGTAGATGGGATTACAGGCATGTGCCACCACGCCCAGCTAAGTTTTGTATTTTTAGTAGAGACAGGGTTTCTCCGTATTGGTCAGGCTGGTCTCGAACTCCTGACCTTGTGATCTGCCCAACTCAACCTCCCAAAGTGCTGGGATTACAGGCGTGAGCCACTGCACTCAGCCGGCTAATTTTTTTTTTTAGTAAAGACAGGTTTCACCATGTTGGCCAAGCTAGTCTCGAACTCCTGACTTCAAGTGATCTGCCTGCCCCAGCCTCCCAAAGTGCTGGGATTACAGGCATGAGCCACCGTGCCCAGCCCTTAATGCAAATATTTGTGTGTGATTTTATTTATTTATCTATTTATTTTTATTTTTATTTTTATTTTTTTGAGACGGAGTCTTGTTCCGTTGCCCAGGCTGGAGTGCAGTGGCACGATCTCAGCTCACCGCAACCTCTGCCTCCTGGGTTCAAGCTATTCTCCTGCCTCAGCTTCCCGAGTAGCTGGGACTACACACGCCTGCCACCACGCCTGGCTAATTTTTGTATTTCTAGTAGAGACAGGGTTTCACTATATTGGTCAGACTGGTCTTGAACTCCTGATCCACCAGCCTTGGCCTCCCAAAGTGCTGGGATTACAGGTGTGAGCCACCGGGCCTGGCCTTGTGTGTGATTTTCAAAGTACAGGAAATTTCTGGAAGTCAGGAGAATGGGTGCTGACACAAACAGAGGGCAAAAGGGACTGGATCTTAATCATCTTTTTGTTCCCAGAACCTGACACGCAGGGGCAGGCATGACTGTCCTTCATCATCTTCATCACCGCTGCTGTTCATTAAGCATTCATTACGTGGCAGGCAATGTCAACCAAGATCTTGTGAGTGCCACCTGGCAGATGAGGAAACTGAGGCACAGAGAGGCAATGTTACTTGACCAAGGTCACACCTGGGCAGCCTGTTTGTGAAATGAACCCGTGAACCTATGCCAGCCCCCGCTTGGTGGAAATCAGCCAGCAACCGAAAATGCTTCCAACTTCACGCAGCCCTTCTTGTTGGGGTGGTGACATTCAGGATATCAATGGCCATCCGCAAGCAGAACAAGGCCATTCCGATTGGGTGCGCTACCTGGGGTGTGTGTGTGAGTGAATCAGGTATGCAGCTGGTGGTGATTCACAGATTGCTGTGTAAGGATCCTGAGTAGGAGACACAAGAGAGAAGAAGCTTCCTTTCTCTGTCTCTCTCAGTTGCACATGTGACCTGTGGCTCCATCCTCGGTGAGATGAGTCCCACTTCAAACTTACGTAGCCAACAAACAAGCGAACAAAAACAGGCTACAGAGAAGGATTTCCTATCAGTTTTCCTGGAATCACCAGGAACATGTTTCAGATTCTTTACAAAATCCCCGGATGTAGTCACCTGTCCGGGACATGCCATCAGGAAAGGGAGGTCCACCTTTGGGTCAGGGGCATGCAGGGAGCTGGGGAGGCTGGGTCCTGGGTTTTCCTTTTCTTTTCTTTTTTTTTTTTTTGTTGAGATGGAGTCTCTCTTTGTCGCCCAGGCTAGAGTGCAATGACACGATCTCGGCTCACTGCAACTTCCGCCTCCCGGGTTCAAGCGATTCTCTTGCCTCAGCCTCCCAAGTAGCTGGGACTACAGATGCACGCCACCATGCCCAGCTAATTTTTATATTTTTAGTAGAGACAGGGATTCACTGTGTTGGCCAGGCTGGTCTCAAACTCATGACCTCATGATCTGCCCACCACAGCCTCCCAAAGTGCTGGGATTACAGGCATGAGCCACCGCCCCCAGCCAGGTCCTGGGTTTTCTCAGGGAAGCTGCAACAAGAGGGAGGAAAAGGGGAGAGGAGGAACCAAGAGGCCTGAGTGGCAGAGCTGCAGTGACTCATCAGGTCTCAGGCCTGCCCTTGGTAAACCTGGATGGGGTGACTTCAAAGTTAATTACACTACGTGCTTTCAAGATGCTGGGATGAAAGTCCTTGGGAGGCATAATTACTTGAGAAGACATTCTTCAAGGGCCGTGGAGGAGCCCAGGTTACTATCTGTAGGCATCCTTTGCCCCAGGTGGGCCTTTCTTTTGTTTGTTTTTGAGATGGAGTCTTGCTCTGTCACCCAGGCTGGAGTTCAGTGGCGTAATCTCAGCTGACTGCAACCTCTGCCTCCTGGGTTCGAACAATTCTCCTGTCTCAGCCTTCCAAGTAGCTGGAACTACAGGCGTGTGCCACCACGCCCCGCCTAATTTTTGTATTTTTAGTAGAGACGGGGTTTCACCATGTTGACCAGGCTGGCCTCTAACTCCTGACCTCAGGTGATCTGCCCGCCACGGCCTCCCAAAGTGCTGGGATTACAGCTGTGAGGTTTGCCTTCTTAAAGGGGCAGTGCTCCTCCCACAGCTTCAGGGCTGAACCCTCTGCTTATCCCATCAGCCCTTCCTGCACCGGCAACCTTGGTGAAGTCAAACACTGGATGTTTACCTTCCTGAACCTCAGCAGGCTACGGGACACCACTTCACGTGGGCCACTTGAAAGGATAGAGAGCTGCTGTTGGTGCCCAAGGCTAGGGTGAAAGAAGAGGAGGACAGAGGGAGGAGAAGGAGAAAAAGACGGCTTCATGGCAACCTTTATCCTGCACCTGGGCATTTCTCCCTCCCTGACCCACATGCAGGCGGGAAATAGGCAGACCCTGGAGAAGGCTGCTTTGAGAACAAATTACGGATGCCTGGTCATTGGGCAGAGTGAGGTCAGAGCTTGGAATGTGTGGACTTCTCCAATGACCAGTTGTGTTCCTGTGGGCGCTTGTGCTGTAGGCTCTGGGAAAGAGGCCATGGGGACTGAGCATTCTTAGCCATAACTGTTTCCACATCTGTTTCTGAAATAAAGCAGAGATGAGAGGAGGGAGGAGAGGACGGGAGAGAGAGAATATTTCACTTTGCTATAACACTTTGCATTGCTCACCAAGCGCAGTGGCTCATGCCTGTAATCCAAACACTTCAGGAGGCTGAGGCTGGAGGATGGGTTGAGCCTAGGAGTTTGAGACCAGCCTGGGCAACATAGAGAGAACCCTGTCTCTACCAAAAAAAAAAAAAAAAGGAAAAATTATCCAGGCATGGTGGTGCATGCCTGTGGCCCTAGCTAGTAGAAGGATCACTGGAGCCTGGGAGGTGGAGGCTATAGTGAGCCATGATCCTGTCACTGCACTCCAGCCTGGGCAGCAGAGCAAGACCCTGTCTCAAATAAATAAATAAATAAAAATAATGCTGCACTAAAGGGGCTTCCATTGGAGCTGCTTCAGGGGTCTGCCTGATCCATTCTCCCTTAGGAAACCCTGGGTTGGGAGCACCAAGGGTAGGAAGCGGGCAGGCAGTGAATGGAGAGGGGATGCTACCCCCTAGGAGCAGGCCAGTGACTTCAGGAGCTTGTATTTTTATTTATTTATTTATTTATTTTGTTTGTTTGAGACGGAGTATCGCTCTGCTGCCAGGCTGGAGTGCAGTGGTGCGATCTCAGCTCACTGCAATCTCCACCTCCCAGGTTCAAGCGATTCTCCTGCCTCAGCCTCCTGAGTAGCTGGGATTACAGGCACTCACCACCATGACCAGCTAATTTTTGTATTTTTAGTAAAGATGGGGTTTCACCATGTTGGCGAGGATGGTCTCAATCTCCTGACCTCGTGATCCGCCTGCCTCAGGCTCCCAAAGTACTGGGATTACAGGCAGAAGCCACCACGCCCGGCTGGAGCTTGTATTTTTGAAGGAGATAAAAAACAGAGGGGAGGTGACGAGACCAAGTGCAGAGGAAACCCAGCCCCTTCTTTTGTCCCAGGTCAAAGTCTCCCTGGTCCCTCCCCTCCTTCCTTTTCAGAATCTTTTGCTGTCTACTCTTGGACACCCCCAGCTCAAGAGTTCTGTGGCCTCCAAAACACTTGCAGGCCTCTTCGACCTCACAACAAACTCCTCCCACCAGCCGAGCCTGTGAGAGTGTCCCAGCTCAGGCCTTCCTCTTCCTCTCTTGAGCTCCAAGCCTCCCTTCTCACTCCGCACATAACCTGTGATAGAACTTAGAGGAGTGGATACCTGTGTGTGTATGGGGGAGCGGGGTGTGGAAGGGAAGGGGCATGAGGAGATGTGCTGGAATATTAACAAGCACCTACATCTTCATCCAGGCAGTGACTACACGGGAGTAGAAAAACGTACACTCCAGGCCACGTGTGGTGGCTCATGCCTGTAATCCCAGCACTTGGGAGACTGAGGCAGGTGGATTGCCTGAGGTCAGGAGTTCGAGACCAGCCTGGCCAACATGGTGAAACCTCATCTCTACTAAAAATACAAAAATTAGCTTGTTGTGGTGGTGTGTGCCTGTAGTCCTAGCTACTCGGGAGGCTGAGGTAGGAGAATTGGAGGTTGCAGTGAGCCGAGATCGCCACTCCAGCCTGGGCAACAGAGCAAGACTCCGTCTCAAAAAAAAAAAAAAGGGAAAAAGGAAAATGTACGCTCAAGATGTGTGCATTTTTCTGTGCATAAATTACAATTCAATTTTTTAATTTTTATTTTTGAAAATAGAGATGGAGGCTCACTATGATGCCTAGGCTGGCCTTGAACTCCTGGGTTCAAGTTATTCTCCCACCTCAGTCTCCCAAATTGCTGCAAGTATGACCCACTACACCTGGTCTATAATTCTTTTTTTTTTTTTTTTGAGACAGAGTCTCGCTCTTGTCACCCAGGCTGGAGTACAATGGCACAATCTTGGCTCACTGCAACCTCTGCCTCCCGGGTTCAAGCTATTCTCCTGTCTCAGCCTCCCAAGTAGCTGGGATTACAGGCATGCACCACCATACCTGGCTAATTTTTGTATTTTCAGTAGAGACGGATTTCACCATGTTGGCCAGGCTGGTCTTCAATTCCTAACCTTAGGTGATCCACCTGCCTCAGCCTCCCAAAGTGCTGGGAATAGCAAGGCGTGAGCCACCATGCCTGGCCCTGTAATTCAATTTTGAAAAGAGGGTAATCGGGGGAAATGGCCAGGCAGGGCCCCTTTTTGCCAGCCTTGCCTTTCCCACTACCCTGTTGCTTTGAGCTGACCAGCCGCCTCCCGATGCCCCACTCCTCTGGCTGAGCACCTCTCTTGCTGGCTGCCCCTCCTTGGCTTGGGGCTGAGAATATGCCCCTCCCCTACCCAAGCTAGCTTCCCATCAGTGATCCTGCCATGCTCGTGGTCCCAGGACCCCAGGCTGGCAGCCCCAGAGCCTCTCGATTTCTCCCTGTCTCTCATTCTGCTAAGAACAGACCGGCTGGGCGCAGTGGCTCCTGCCTGTAATCCCAGCACTTTGGGAGGCCAAGGTGGGTGGATCACAAGTTCAGGAGTTCGAGACCAGCCTGGCCAACATGGTGAAACCCCGTCTCTACTAAAAATACAAAAATTAGCTAGGCATGGTGGCGTGCGCCTGTAATCCCAGCTACTTGGGAGGATTGCTTGACCCTGGGAGACGGAAGCTGCAGTGAGCCAGGATCTTGCCACTGCATTCCAGCCTGGGTAACAGAGCGAGACTCTGTCTCAAAAAAAAAAAAGAACAGATCTTGTTCTGAAGCAGTTCAGTCATCCTGGCCTCCCGGACACCTCGTGCCTGGGTCGTGACCTCAGCTCCCTAAGCCTTCTTCCTGCCTCCTTTCTCTGTTCTCCAATCTCCCTGCCCACTGTTGCCAGATTCACATTCCCCAAGTTAACTTCCATCGTGCCCCTCCCCCAGCAGCAGCTCCCCAAGGTCCAGGAGGTGCTGCCTGATGGAAGTCAGGCGAGTGGGCCCGGAAGGGGTCAGGCTAAGGGGGCATAACAGCCTCTGTGCAGACAATTCTCCCCATGTTACAGATTAGGAAATCAGGGCTCAAGAAGGCCGAGCTGCTTGCAGCTAGGGAGTGGGAGAGCTTTCTGGATGCAAGCCTGCTTCTGCAGGATCGGACTTCTCCAGCCTCAGCCACTGTGACTTGTCTCCCTCCCACTCCGTTTGGACCTCCCTGAGTATCTCATGCTAGTTCTTACCTCTGGGCCTTTGCACATGCTGTTGCCTCTGCTGAGAATGACTTTCCCTAGCAAAATCCCACTCACATCTCAAGGCTCAGGCCGAGTACCTTTGAAACACCTTCCTTGATGATACCAGACACATTCCCACCCTCCTTTGTCCTGAGTTCACACTAGGCCTCTCACACTGGATTCTGGATTGGGGTGAACCACTTGCTACTCTGAGTCCTTCCCCTGACTAGGCCATGAGTCCCTGGAAGGAAGATTCACACTTCATGTTTGAAACAAGGAGTTATCCCAACAGAGCGCTTAGGAGGCACCTGGGACTGTGGAGTCAATGTTAGCAGCATGGGCTGTCGAGCCAGGGCATCTTTTCTGTGCCTCAGGGTCCTCATCTATAAAATAGGGATCATATGGCTGGGCACGGTGGCTCACGCCTGTAATCCCAGCACTTTGGGAGGCTGAGGTGGGTGGACCACCTGAGGTCAGGGGTTCGAGACCAGCCTGACCAACATGGAGAAACCCCGTCTCTACTAAAAATACAAAATTAGCCTGGCGTGGTGGCGCATGCCTGTAATCCCAGCTACTCGGGAGGCTGAGACAGGAGAATCACTTGAATCTGGGAGGCGGAGGTTGCAGTGAGCCAAGATCGTGCCATTGCACTCCAGTCCGGGCAATAAGAGCGAAACTCCATCTCAAAAAATAAATAAAATAATATAAGGAACATAATACGTTAACCTCGCAGTCTTTTTGGGAGCAAAGGGTTGGAAATGGCCTGGCACAGGTGAACCCTCAATGAGCTTAGCCCTTGTGTTCATCTGAGGTCTCACTGAATTCTGGCAACCCTCAGAAACAAGCATCATCAGCCGGGCGCGGTGGCTCCTGCCTGTAATCCCAGCACTTCGGGAGGCCGAGGAGGGTGGATCACGACGTCAGGAGATTGAGACCATCCTGGCTAACACGGTGAAACCCCATCTCTACTAAAAATACCAAAAATTAGCCGGGCGTGGTTGGGGGTGCCTGTAGTCCCAGCTACTCGGGAGGCTGAGGCAGGAGAATGGCGTGAAACCAGGAGGCAGAGCTTGCAGTGAGCCGAGATCGCGCCACTGCACTCCAGCCTGGGCGACAGTGCGAGACTCCGTCTCAAAAAAAAAAAAAAAGAAAGAAACAGGCATCATCACCTCCACATTACAGAGGAGGAAACTGAGATGTGCCCGAAGCCCCCAGGATGCCAATCCTGTGCTCCCAACCCTCCACGCCTGCACCACCTCCAGCCTAGTAGCTGGCACCCTGGTGCCCACACAAAAGCCCAGTTAGCAAGTGTTTTTTGTGGCATGAATGAAAATGACTCACCAGGTGCCTGTTTGCCCCCTCTGGTAGGGGCAAAATTTCCTTGTGATTATTTGGTGTACTTAAACTGTATGGTTGACGCATTAATGTCACTTCCTTAGAGGCTGTCAGTCACTGCCCACTCCCAAACATTAGCTCTCTAAGAAAGGAATGCAGGAAGAAGCATGATGGGTAGAAATGGGGCAGAGCAGCAGGGGCGGGAGGGATTCTCAGATTATAGCTTTTTAGACAGCTTGACTTTCGTGTATGTAAACACCTTCATATCCAAAAAATAAACCAAAAAAGAGGAGGGGGAGAAGCATTAGCTTATTATTAAAATTGATTAAATAGGGTGGGCACAATGGCTCATGCCTGTAAATCCAGCACTTTCGGAGACTGAGGTGGGAGGATTGCTTGAGCCCAGGAGTTCAAGACCAGCCTGGGCAACACAGTGAGATCTAATCTCTACAAAAAATACAAAAGTTAGCCAGGCATGGTGGCACGCACCTGTGGTCCCAGCTGTTAGGGAGGCTGAGGCAGGAGGATCCCTTGAGCCTGGGAAGTTGAGGCTGCAGTGAGCCATGACTTCACCACTGCAGTCCAGCCTGGGTGACAGAGCAAGATCCTGTCTCAAAAACAAAACAAAACAAAAAAAAAAACAAAACTATACTTTTCACTGTAAAAGACAAAGACCAGCTCCTTATTATTTTCTCTCAGGGCCTCTAGTTGGTAACTTCCACTCGCTGTCTGGTGTCAGGTTGTCCATCCCAGAAGGTCCTAAAGTCCAGGGAGGCAGGGGAACTCTCTGCTGCATTCCCCCAGCACCTCATTCAACCAAGTGCGGGTGAACAAAATGGCTCTTCGCAGGCTGACCAATTGACCACTGACTCCTGGCTGCCACCCAGCCCCAAGGCCCAGGCTCTGCTTAGCACCTGCCATTCCAGGGCCTACTGGCATTTCCTGGCTTTGGTAACACACCTGATACCTGATGCCTGTAAAGGGGACCCACCTTTACTTGGGCCTCACACAGCAGGAAACCCTCCACCAGGCCGTGAGCCTGTGGGTCACTGGGTCTTGACGGCCAGCACTGGAAGGCGCCTTGACCTATGTCCAGGATTTCAAAACGCCCGAGGGGAACCTCCCAGGGCCCTCCATCCGCTTCCCAGGCAGACCTATCAGCCAGACAGCTTCCGTCTTGCCTCTGGGTTGAGACTGTGGCAATAATGGCTCTTCGGTTGACGAAAGGAAGTAAACTGTGTTGGGTAAATGCAGATGGACAGATTCTTTTCCAAGCTGGTGAGACCAAGGCAGGCGAGGCTGAGCGCTGCCCTTTTATCAAGGCTTGACTGAAGGACCTCATCCAGAGTCACTATCAGAGCTCGCTCCAGCACTCTCCTTCATGGAGCCCCAGGGTCAGCAGTGGAGAGGGTCAGAGCACCCCCACAACCCCCACAGCGAGATGACCTCGGCTCGTCTTGCCTCTGCCACCAGAGCTGTGACTGTGGGCAAGATATTTTACAGCAGGACCAGTTTCTTGTCCGAAGGCAGGGCTATTAACAGGACCTAACTCAGGATACTTGTGTGGATAAAATCATGTGTGAAGAGCTTTTAGGGCCTTGCTTCTCAAAGAGGGGCCCCAGGCCATCAGCACACCTGGAGTGTGCAGGGGGAAGCTCTCAGCCCCACCCCAGCCCTCTTTACAAGACCCCCGCGTGGCACCTGTGGCGTGGCACCTGTGTGCACTCGTGTTTTCAAAGCCCCCGGACATCCCAACCACAGCCCAAGTGTTCTGAAAGTGGCCCCAGCCACACCTGCCTTCAGGGCGAGGGCTTGTTCCTCACTGACTCCTGCTGCTCCCAGCAAGACCCACTTCCGGGTCTGCAGGGAGAGGCCCTAAGGGCACAGAGGTGGACAAAGGGCTGCCTGCATCACTTTATCTTTTCTACTTTATTACTTCAAATTAACAACCACGATAAAGCTCAAAAAAGTCCAATATTTACACAGGAAAAAAGTACAAAATTCCCCCCAAAGTTCTTCAGTTTTTTTTTTTTCAGTTTTTTAAATTACAAAGTAATAAAAAGCTTTGCTCTTTAATTAAAAAAAAAAAGGAAAAAGGGGAAACAGAGGTAAATAAATTAGGAAAACACACACACGGAGAAAACAAACAAAAATAAAATAAAATAAAAACAAAAAGGTGTTAACTAGGAAGGATGGGTTAATCCAAAACCCAGCCCTGACTCCAGGCTCCTCCTCAGAAAGGTGGAACCAGGGAGAGGGGGGACCCCAGGTGACTGTCAGGACCAGGGAAGTAATTTATAACTCAGAGCCAGATGCCTTCTGGAAGCAGTCTCCATGGATTCTGCCCTAAAACCAGGAATGGAAGATGGAGCTGCCACCGGCTGATGACGGGCTAGGGGGGGACCGGTGGCAGCGAGGACCCTCTGAGCTCTGAGGGATGCGGAGGTCACCGCCCACCCCCATGTCCTTGTTAGTAGACACAGGAGAACGGGAATTCGGGCTGGCAGGCGGGGCGGGCCGTGGCACCTGCTGTCTTGGGAAACACAGGTCAATACATCCACACACACACACACACACACACACGCAGGGGACGCCGGCCCCCACCACCTCCCCACCCACTCCATGGAGAGGCAGAGGAGGAGCCTGGAGGCCAGGGGGACAATGGAAAAGCCCAGCACGGGAAGTCAGCCACTGTCATCTCAGAGTGGGTGGGGCTGTGCGTATCTCCTGGATTCTGAGGCTCGGAAAACTCGGTGGGAACTGCCTTCAACTGACTACACCACTCCCTGATGATGCTTGAGGGCCGGCTTTGGCTCTGGGACCTGTCACTTCTCCGACACGGACCCGACCCGTTCCTCTCCAGGCAGGTGGTGGGTGGGGGCAGGAACAGGAGGCCGGGCAGGCCCTGGCGTCTGGCTCCTGTAGCCTGGTGTTGTCAGGGGAGCATCTGGCAGCCTGAAGGTTGGGGGCAGCGGGCACCACAAGGGGGCAAGAATCCTCAGTGCTGAGGGCATCTCATCTTCTTGCCATTGGCAAAGAAATCAAAGAAACAAACTCCATCGTCGGTTTTGTGCTGGGTTTTTTTGTTGTTCTTTTGAGTGGTTTATTTTTGCCTTTTTTTTTTTTTTTTTTTTTTTAAAGAAAATACAGTGAAGACACTAGAAGGGAGAAGGGAAAAGACAGGTGAGGTACACAGCTGTCTCTGGCTACTTTTTTTTTTTTTTGAGATGGAGTCTCGCTCTGTCCCCCAGGCTGGAGTGCAGTGGCACGATCTCGGCTCACTGCAACCTCCACCTCCCAGATTCAAGCAATTCTCCTGTCTCAGCGTCCCGAGTAGCTGAGATTACAGGTGTGTGCCACCACACCCGGCTAATTTTTGTGTTTTTAGTAGAGATGGGTTTTCACCATGTTGGCCAGGCTGGTCTCGAACTCCTGACCTCAAGTGACCCACCTGTCTGGGCCTCCCGAAGTGCTGGGATTACAGGTGCGAGCCACTGCACTTGGCCCCCCAAACTCCTGTCTTCTCGTCCCTTGGTCTATCTCCCTCTGGGCCCCAGAGCCTGGCTCAAGGCCCAGCACGCTAGGAGATCCATCTTCATGTGACAGAAACGGATTCTCTCCCTTCTCTGCCCTCCTGGTGAGCATCTCCCCACCCCACCCCCAAATATCTGCCCAGCCCGCCATGGACAGCTTGGTTCCTGGGCCTGAGATCCGAGGAAGGCCAGCCCTGTTCATGCCTCCACTCTCTTGTGTGGATGAATTTCTACAAAACAGACCACACACAGATTGTCCCAGTGTAAAGTTGAGTCCCCCGACGTGTCGGACTACTGCCTACAAATGGACACACGTTCCCCAGAGAGCTCAGATTATACCCTCGAGAAGCCCAAAGAACCCCTGCCGCCTCCCCTTCCCCAAGCCAGGCCCCAGAGTGGGGCGTTTCCATACCCCGCCTCAAGGCCTGGTACAGTCCGGGAAGAACCAGCAGGCTCACGCTGGCCAGAGGGCCTCTCTCAGTCCTACTACAGAGGCATAAAAAGGGCTCCTTTGCTTCCTCCACAGCCCTGTTGTGAGTCTTGTGCAGGAATTAACTTGCGTAACAGCCCAGAGGCTGAGACAGGGCTAATGCCGTGGGAGAGGTCAGAGTGTGAGCCCATGGCCCCGTCTCTGCTGGGAACCAACCTTCCAAAATATGTTAAGGCAGAAGGAGATAGAGACCTGGCCGAGGGCAGAAAAAGTTTTTCCAGCAGAAACTAATCCATGAGGGGTCAGGCCTGAGCATAGAAACCCTTGGCCCCAAGTCAGGCAGCCTCCGAGGTTTTAAACTACTTGAGGCCCCTTAGAGTTCTGGGGCGCCTGGTACCATCTGCCACTGCCACTGCCACCCACCCCTCCACAACACATTGGTCTCTTTCTGGGGCCCTGGGAGCTTCTAGGTCGGCTGGGCTGGCTGCATCTGCAGCAGTCATGGACTCACCTAAGCAAACACTGGTCCAATGGGGGCTCTCCTCACTTCCCGAGATGGTCAAATGGCACACTTGTCTTTTGAGGGTGGGGAGGGAGAGAGGGGGAGGGAGAGAGAGGGAGGTACAAGCTTCAAGTCAAGTCCCTTAGCCGCTGGCGATAGAGATTTGGCAAGTCTCTCCCCACTGAGGAGGTGTACCCCCACCCCCACCTCCAGGCAGCCCCTCAAGCTGAGGGAAGGCCTGTGTGATTCCAGTGACTCTAAGATGTCCCTGTCTGTAGCTAAGAATGTTGCCCAGGGAGGCAAACCTGCTACCTAAGTAGATGGCCAATGAGGGTTCTCTCGCAGGACTCCCTCCTCGCCCACAGGCAGGAGGACGAGGGCAGGGCTCCCACCCACCTCTGCCAGGCCACCTGCCCTGGGCAACTACAGATTCCCCCTTCCCAAGTGTCCCCATCCAAACATAGCCCCAAAGAGGATGGGACCTCACTGCCCCTACACCCCATGCTCTTGCCAATGCTCACAGGGGCTCCTGGGGGCTCCCTGATGTCAGGGAGCAGCAACACCTCATCTCTGAGCCCCTGCTGCCCACCCTGGCTGGGCCCCTGGCAGCGAGGACTGGAGCCCAGCTGTGCCACTTGCCAGGGAATGTTACTGCCCTGAGCCTTGGTGAATGACTTTGCTCAAGAGGGCTCATCAGACCTCAGAGGATTAAATGAGGCCAAGTCCTGGCTCTACAGAAGGGGTTCACTCCAAGGCAAGCAGCGTCGATGGAAAGGGAAGAACAGAGCCACGGCCTGACCTCCCACTGGGGGGTCTCTAACTCAGTTCTGAGGCCCAGAGGGACTGGCAGGGGGGCAGCTCACCTGTGAGGCTGGGATCCGGGAGACCTCTTGCCGCCCAGTGAGGTCTGAGGAGGAGACGTTGGCGGGCGCACCCCTGTGCAGCCTCATACTCACCTTCCTCTCCCGGTCGACCCGCGAGATCGCTCTGGGAGAAGTATTGCCTGGAGGGAGAGTGGGAAGCCACCCTCAGAGTAGGCACAAACAGAGCCCCCCACCCACCCTGAACCCAGCCCACTGCCTGAGTCCCTGCTCACCAGCCGGCTGGATGCGGGAGGCTGGCGTGGAAGCCACGGGCTCGGCGGCACTGCGGAGCCGGTTGGCAGTGGCCCCCGTGGGTGGGCCAGGGGGCAGGGCTCGGGTCGCGGACCCCC
Organism: Homo sapiens; assembly: GCF_000001405.40. Classification (NCBI taxonomy): domain Eukaryota; kingdom Metazoa; phylum Chordata; class Mammalia; order Primates; family Hominidae; genus Homo; species Homo sapiens. The sequence continues at coordinate 38,294,459 of NC_000022.11, forward strand.
GTAGCTGCCCCATCCTCTCCTCGCGTTCGTGTTCTCGCCGCTCCCGGTCCACATCCTCGGGATTCCGGGCTGCACCCTGCAGGGATGCAAGAAAAGACACCAGTCAGCCCCAGAGGCCAGGGTGCTCTGGGCCCAGCAGCCCTGCAGGGCACAGAAGGGGAGGGAGGCCAGGTGGATATCTCAGAAACCTTCTGCTCCAGCCTCCCTGACAAGCGCGGGAAGCCAAGACCCACAATCACACAGCACAGAGACACGAAGCCACACAACCACCAGAGGAAGGAGAAAGCAGGAGTCTGGGGGCAGAGGGAGGTCAGTCTGCCCTGCTCTCCTGGGATGGAGCCAGAGAAAGGACAACTAATGCGCCCAGGATGATCAAGAGCACCTCTTGGCCCTCCTGACCTGGGGCTGGGCCTGCCCTGGCCCCCCTCTGTGTACCAAGAGCCCTTAACTACTCAAGGTTGCTAAACCGAGCAGGAAAGCTGTTTAGAGGCCTCTAGCAGACTGGCTAGGGGTGTCCAGAGGGGGAAAAGAACAGGCCCAGAGTCACAAAACTAGTGGAAGGCTGGGCTAGGACTCAGACCAGCTCTCCCGGTACCTAGCCAGGGGCTCTTCTCATCAGGGAGCTGTCCTTCCCCCTGCCGGGACCTGGCAATGGCTTCTGGCAGGTGCAGTGGAGGCCACAGCCAGGAGGCCCAGGGAACCCACAGACACCGCCTGCCTTGGGACAGAAGCTCAAGGGGAGCTGGAGAAGAAAATGGGGCCACGTTCCCCACGGAGGAAGAAGAGGCCCAGCAGGCAAAGCTGGAGCAGAAGGGGTACCCTAAGCCCCCAGGTGCCCTGCTGTCCAGCCACTGCCGCCCCTGGTGCAGGAGGAAGTGAGAAGGGGCCAGAGAAGAGCATATGTGGGGGCAGCGCCCGACTGCGTTACCTAGTTCATCCTGGGGCCGTCCACAGGGAAGGGCAGGGGGCTGGCAGGAAGGGGGCCGCATCTGTGGAGGAGAGAGCTCTGGGCTGAGTTGGGGGCCTGCTCATGGGCACAGGGTGTGGTTCCTGCAACCCATGTCTCTCCCAGGAGACTGGCCAAGAGGTGGGGGTGGGCCCTGTCTTTAAGCAACTCCAGGAAGTAGTGGCTAGGACCAGAATGATCCCTGAATCTTAGTGAGGCACCAAGGCCCAGAGAGGCCTTGTGACCTGCCCGGGGTTGCACAGCTCAGGGCAGAGCTAGGGTCTGAACCCAGGCCTCTGCCACCTAGTCCCACTCTGCTCTCTGCACCCCAAGAGGTCACTGTTCAGAGTCTTGCCTTAGAACACTCTAGAAGATGCATCTTCCCATCCTCCCACCCAGAAGCCTCTCAGGCAGGCCTGGGACCACCGGGGCTCTAACTCCTGACCTCCGGTCCTCACCCTGGGCTCCCACTCGGTTGCAGGCTGGCCAACAGTGACTCAGCCAGAGCCACAGCAAAGCCTGGGGAGGAACACGAGCTGTGGCACCTCCGTGCCGAACCTTCTGCGGGCAGAGTCACATCAACCCTGTGAGGCAGGTCAATCTCATTTCCATGCTTGGGATACAGAGGCTGAGTGACTCACTCCAAGGTGTGGAGCCCTGCAGCCAGCAGCCAAGCAGAGGGCTGGAGCCCCTGCCCTTTGTGAGCCCAGCAGGCTCAGGCCATTGCCAGCCCCGAGGCAAGAAGTGGGCGACTCTCCATGGTCCCATCCAACCCATAGGACGCAAGAAACACACAGCAGGGAGCTCTCTTGGCCTTTATTGCCCATAGAAAACATAAAAGGTCAGCAAAGTCACACGAGCATCCACCCGTCATCATATGGACCTCTGTCCTTGGCTGTGTTGAATTCCTTCCCGGCCAGCTGACTGGACCTCGGAACACAGTGGCTGTATGTGCTGAGAGTGGCTTCCAGGCCCCAGGGATCCACAGATCCCAGCACCCCGGTGCAGCCAACAACACAGGGTGTCCTGTCTACTGTTGGGTAGCATGGGAAGGGCCTGGCCTCAGGGTGAAGGTTCCCATTGCATGTTTTCCAGGTGCTTCTGCCAGGGGACTGCTGGAGGTGGTTCAGCTCACTACAGTGGCCGTGGCATTGAGTCAGAGATTGGCAAAGGATAAGGCTGTGGGTGCCTCTGCCCAGCTTCTAACTCCAGGGCCTGCCTCAAGAGGGACTTCCAGGAAGGCGGTCAGACCAGCAGCAGTGGGTGGAGAGGTGCTCCTGGCCTGGTTGGAAAAGAGATCTTGCTGGCTAGACAGTCTTGTGAGACTCCATAAGGGAGGAACCTAGAGCAGTGATGTCCACAGAACGTTCTGGATGAAGGAAATGGTCCCATCTGCCTTGCCGGATGTGGTGGCCACTGGAGGGCAGTGGCATGATCTCAGCTCACTCCAATCTCTGCCTCCTGGGTTCAAGCGATTCTCCTGCCTCAGCCTCCCAAGCAGCTGGGATTACAGGAACACACCACCATGCCCAGCTAATTTTTGTGTTTTTAGTAGAAATGGGTTTCACCATGTTGGCCAGGCTGGTCTTAAACTCCTGACCTCAAGTCATCCGCCCTCTATGGCCTCCCAAAGTGCTGGGATTACAGGCATGAGCCACCAGGCCTGGCCGACATTTCCAGTCTTGATTAATTTTAATTCATTAAAAATGTGTCGCATGTGGCCAATGGCTACCATCTTGGACAGTGTCCGTCTAGAGAATACAAAATCCATTCTTGCAGTTGTGCTGAGCTGGAGGGCCAAGCCCATCACGAACCAGACGTGGGAGTGACTATCTCGATAAGAAAGTGCCCAGTGCCCAATGCCCTGTGGTGGAAAGAGCTGGTCCCAGGTGCTCAAGGCCATGGGCCCCATTTGGAGCCAGAAGGTCTAGGGTGAAGTCAGAGAAGACGTCCCCTGCCCATATCCCATTTCCAGCCTTGCTGAAAAGGGCAACAGAGGCCTCTCCCTGAGGTCCCTAGCCTGCGAGACCCCCATTCTCTGCCTGACCTCTGTGTTACTCCTTAGTGAACAAGAAACCCAGAGAGAAGAGAAGCCCAAGACCAATGTGCCGACCTTGGCTTCCAGGAGAACAGAGCCTTGGTCCTAACCATCTAGCAGGGTGGCTGAGGGCCCTGCCATGAAAGAGGCACACCAGGATGAAGCAAGAGGAGGTGTTTAATGAGTTCTGGTTCAACACAGAGGCCGCCAACGGGGTCTAGCTATGAGTCTGTCCTGGGACCCGTTCCCACCAGGCCCCTTGTGGGCAGTGGCCACCATCCCTCCCTCAGGCTGTCCTGGCCCTCAAGGACCCCATGGCAGGGCCTTTTCCACCATGGCCTCCACTGTGCTGCCATCTCTTGGGAACAGGGGGTCATCCCATCCTCCCAAGAAACACTTCCTCAGGCCTGGCCCCGATGGGCTCAGGCACACCTGGCGACATCAGAAATGGGGCCCTGGAGTCCAGACCACAGGCCAGTAGTTTTGGGGGGACAGCTCCTCCACCTCCTCCACCGGCCTATCTGGGGGGCTCTGGGTGCCCAGGGGAGCCGGGCACCTGAAAGGGACAAAAAGCACAGCTGAGGCTCAGCCTCTTGCGCTCACTGGTCAAGTGGCAAATTTTGGAAAAGCCAGACCTCAGAGGATCCTTACCAGTACGTGGGTGAGTACGTGGGCCCAGCACAGGGACAGGGGCGGGGACAGAAAGGTCCCTTCGCTGTCATGGGGCTGTCACGGGGCTGAGCCTGGCTCGAGGAAGCCCCCTTTTCCAGAAGAGATGTGAAACAAGACATACAATTTCACAGATTCCAGAGCTCTGGGTACGGCCGGCCAATGCTGCTCCCCACCCAACCCCACCCCTGGGACTCTTAAAAGAGGGAAACAGAACAACTGCCTAGCCAGACCCAGGGGCCCATGACCAAGAAGAAAGCAAGCACCATGACTGGGTCCAGGCTGGCCCGAGGGGCCATGGTGCAGGTAGCCACCTGGGATGTGCAGAACAGGAGCAGCAGGACGGTGTAGGCAGCAATCAGGGCAGCAGGGGGCGCCGCCAGCACCACCCATGCCCTGCTGCGGGCACCCAGGAGGGACCCCAGGTGAAGCCAGATCCTCCTTGTTCCGACGGGAGACAGCGCCCTGCCTGGGCCCTGCTGCCCATGGTGGCACAAGCTGTCAGCACGGATGAGGCTGGAGGGCTCTGGGACCCCAGTGAGGTCAACCACACTGTCCAGCTCGTACCTCCCGTCTGTCGGGAGCCCCTCCCGCCACCAGCTCACTCTGGCCCTCTGAGTCAGGGCCTTCCCCATCCAGTCCCCCAAGCCCGCCTTGGCCTCCAGGTGACTCACGAATTTCAGCATGTTCCAGTCAAAGACGTAGTCATAGGAGAAGCCCTGCCGGTGGAAGAGGTTGCGGAAGAGCTGACGTAGGTAAGAGTAGTCGGGCTTGTCGTCAAACCGCAGGGAGCGGCAGAAGTTGAGGTATGTTGAGAATTCGGCTGGAGGGTGTTGCAGAGGATAGAGAAGGCCACTGTGAGGCCCACGCTCCCAGACCCCCTGCAGCCAGCACTGTCCTAGCCACCCACTGTCCCTAGATACTTCCAATCTGTGAGAGGCAAGAAAAGGAGGCAACAGAGCCATGGCCTTCCCTATCCTACTGTGATGAAAGCCTAGCCTGCCCGTGAGCAGAGCCTCTGCTGCTTTCAGAGCAAGGGAAGACCTGCGAACAGTGGCCAGGAGCCTCTGCCAGGTAGCCGGATCCAGGAGCCATCCATGCCCACAGCTCTTCCGCTGCCCTCGCCAAGCACCCTGGGGCCCACAGATCAATCGTTGCCATAAATTCAAAGGACTGCAAGAGCCTGACGGGACCTTCTAACACAACCTAAGCAAGAAGAGGAAAACTTCCAATTCCTCCTCAAAAACACTGGGGAGAGGGCCCTTGGGAGATGAGGCAGGAATGTAGGCCGGGAAGCAACAGGTGTAACAGCCAGGACAGGGAAACCGGGCCTTCTGGCTGTGCCAAGGAGTGGCAAAGAGCCAGGGATTACTGCTCAGGTGCCAAGGGCTGTGGGGCAGCCCAGTGTGGGCTTTGTTGTTGTTGTTTTTGAGATGATGTCTCGCTCTGTCACCCAGACTGGAGTGCAATGGTGCAATCTCGGCTCACTGCAACCTCCGCTTCCCAGGTTCAAGCAATTCTCCTGCCTCAGCCTCCTGAGTAGCTGGGATTACAGGTGGGGCTAATTTTTGTATTTTTAGTAGAGACAGGGTTTCACCATGTTACTCAGGCTGGTCTCGACCTCCTGACCTCATGATCCACCTGCCTTGGCCTCCCAAAGTGCCAGGACTGCAGGCGTGAACCACCGCGCCTAGCCCCAGCGTGGGCTTTGTATGGCCTCACCTTTCCCTTAGACAGTGCCTCAGGGGCCCCCAGGCATGTCCCCTCCCACTGGGCTACTCACAGGGATAGCCTTTGCAGAGGACCTCGATGGGCGTTGACATCTTCTTCTCGCTGATCCGTTCATACTTCTGGCGCTTGGTGGCTGCTTTGAGCCCCTGCCAGGGCAGGGAGCCCAGGTTGAAGTACATGAGCACGTAGCCCAGGCTCTCCAGGTCATCTCGACGGCTTTGCTCTGCACAGAGAGTCAAAGACTAGGTGAGGGACAGGGGTCCACTCAGGCCCCTAACTCATCCTCTGGGTCATGCTCCTCACAATGCACCAGGACCCTCCTGCCCCCACGTCGGATGTTGCTCACTGCACGCATTTTAAACAGGCACTGCTATTATCCTCCTCCTACAGAGAAGAAGCCTGAGGCAGGGCCTTCTCAACTTAATTTGGGCCTAGTTTTTCCAGTTCAGGCACTTAATCATTCAATGACTATGAGAGGGCACCTACTGCCCCCTTGCCTGGCCCACCCCGTGGAGAGGTCACAAGCTTCAGCATCAGACAGGGCCGGGGTCAAGTCCAGCTTTGGCATTAGCTAAGCTGCATGACCTTAAGCAACCCATGTTAAACCTCTGAGCCTGTATCTTCCAGCCTGCACCAACAGGGCGGAGGAGGAAGCAGGGCCAGGGAAGGCGCCCGGCACACACAGCTTGGCTTACGAAGGGGAAGACCCGACTGTGCAAGGACACGGAATAAGCACGAGCTTGGGGGCAGACGGGGTGGGGACTTTCTCACTAGAAAAGAGCCTGGGGGCCTCCATCAGGGTAGGGGGTGAGAGGGCTCCAGAGAGCTGGGCCCCAGCCAGTGGCCCCGGGTGCACACTGCTCCAGGCCTGGCTCCCTCACCAATGCCCAGGTGCGTGTTGATGGAAGCGTAGCGGGCCGTGCCGGTCAGGTTCTTGTTTTCCCGGTAGGGAATGTGCTGGTGGGTGCGGGCGTCCCGGTACTTCTTGGCCAGGCCGAAGTCGATGATGTAGACCAGGTTGCCCTTCTTCCCCAGCCCCATGAGGAAGTTGTCGGGCTTGACGTCCCGGTGGATGAAGTTCTTGGAGTGGATATACTCGATGCGGCTGATCTGGGGAGGAGGGGGGCCATTTGTTCAACAGAGGGGCCCTTGCCTAGCACTCTGGGCCAGGCAGGGGCTGGGGCCACAGAGGTGGAAAGGCAGAGGGAGAAAGGCCTGCCTTCGACCATGAAGGATAACTAAGGGGCAGGCCAGAGAAGGCCTCCTGGAAAATGTGACATCAGGATGAACTCTAAAGGGGGAGTTCACCAAGTTGGCTGTGAGACAGAGAAAGAGAGTATTGCAGGAAAGCTAATGGGAAGATCCAGAAATGAAGAGTCTGCTAGAAAGGCAACTGGTTCCCCATGGAAGGCTTGCCTGCCCGGCCCCACACTCACAGGACTTAGGGAGCCAGAGAGGCAACAGATGTGGGCGAGGGGCAGGCAGGGAACATGGGGGAAGCCTAGACCAGGAAGAGGTGACAGAGGCAGAACACAAAAGACAGGGCTTCCGAAGGATGCCAAACTCAGACAGGCACATGGCCCTCTTTCCTTTGATATTTTTTTTTTTGAGATGGAGTCTCGGTCTGTTGCCCAGGCTGGAGTGCAGTGGCAAAATCTCGGCTCACTGCAACTTCTGCCTTCAGGGTTCAAGTGATTTTCCTGCCTCAGCCTCCCGAATAGCTGGGACTATAGGCACGCGCCACCACACCTGGCTAATTTTTTGTATTTTTAGCAGAGATGGCGTTTCACCATGATGGTCAGACTGGTCTCAAACTCCCGATCTCAGGAGATCCGCCTGCCTCGGCCTCCCAAAGTGCTGGGATTACAGACTTGAGCCACCTTTTCAGTCGAGTTTTTAAAACTCAAACTAATATCCATCCACATGCCGTGGCCTCTGGCTCTGGCCCCAGGTTCAGCACAGCTCAACATCTCCTGCACCTTTCTTGAGTTTCACACCATGAGGGGCTCTGGCGACCCTCTGCTCACACACCTTCAGCCTACATCGCAGGGCTTTTGCAGACCAAGATTAAAACCCCTGTACGAGATCTCCACATTCCATTCCAAGTTCAAAATTCTACAGTTTTGTATTTTTAAGAAGCTTTCCTCCCTATGCTGATGAAGGGCTTAGTACTTAACAACAGCCTGTTAGAGGGGCCTGTTTTGGCAAGGCGCTGAATGGTATCTCACCTAATCCCCTCAACAACCAACAAAGGAGAGACTCTCACATGAGGCCACTGAGGCTCAGAGAGGTTCGGCGTTCACCTACGGTCACTGGTCTGGAACAGGACCAGGTCTGTGTGACCGACCGCAGGCTTTACATTACCCAGGGCAGGCCAGACGTGGTGGATCATGCCTGTGATCCCGTGTTAATTCCCATCTTGGGAGGCCAAGATGGGAAGACTGCTCAAGGCCAGGAGTTTGAGACCAGCCTGGTCAACACAGTGAGACCCCCATCTCTATTTCTTACAATTAAATGATATTTTTGAAATAAATAAATAAAACTACCCCAGGCAGAGTCCCAGGCCCTGACTCGGCAGGTCTGGAGTTGGGCCTGAAATCACATTTTAAATAAACAACTTGGCTGGGCACGGTGGCTCACGCCTGTAATCCCAGCACTTTGAGAGGCTAAGATGGGCGGATCACTTGGTAAAACTCTGTCTCTACTAAAAATACAAAAATTAGCCCAGCGTGGTGGCAGGTGCCTGTAATCCCAGCTACTCATGAGGCTGAGGCAGGAGAATCGCGTGAACCTGGGAGGCGGATGTTGCAACGAGCTGAGATCGCACCACTGCGCTCCAGCCTGGGCGACAGAGTGAGACTCCGCCTCAAAAAATAAATAAACACCTACAATTCTATAGCCAGTGGACAAGGTCCCCTGGCCCAGGCCCATCCTCTGGCATCCTCTGGGGGCAGGAGGCAGGGCTGGTATCCTGGGCCCACAGGCATCTGGCTGGGGATGGAGGGGACGGGGACTCACCATCTGGTCGGCCAAGAGCAGCACCGTCTTGAGGCTGAATTTGCGGGAACAGAAGTTGAACAGGTCCTCGAGGCTAGGCCCCAGCAGCTCCATGACCATCACGTTGTAGTCGCCCTCAGCTCCGCACCACTTGATGGACGGGATCCCCACTGGGGGTCAAGCAGAGGGCCTCTGTCAGGGGTCAGAGGCAGGCAGCCAGCCACGCCCGGCCCACCCTGTGCTCATGGCTGCCCACCGCCACCCACCCGGCGCCCGCCGCCGCCCACCCTGCGCTCACCGCCACCCTGCATCATCTTGTAGAACTTGCTCTCGATGTGCAGCTGGGGGTGCTTTGTCTTCACACACTCCAGCTTGATGGCGACTTCCTCACCAGAGGCGATGTTGGCACCTGCCCGGGGCAGGGAGGCAAGGGACCAGGGTCACCCTCAAAGGCCAGGCAGTCCCAGGCGCCCCACTAAGCATTTCTGAGATCTGGCGTGTGCCGGGCCCGGGGCCATCTGCCCTTGAGGAGCTCTTGGGGGAGGCTGGGAAGGGGGCAAAGGAGCCCCGGCAAAGGGTTCCTGAGGGGAAAGAAGGTCAGCGCTGTGAGGGACAGAGGTGACACACAAGGGCTACCCAGGGCCACAGGTTGGGGCGACAAGAAGGCCCGATGTGAGTGGGGCAAGGGTCAGGTATGCAAAAGGCTCACAGACCACCTAAGGGAGGGGGCTGAGTCCTAGAGCAAATTCAGGCAGTGAGGTCTGTCGGGTTGAGATGGTGGCACGTGCAGAAGAGGCCCAATGGGGCTGGGCTGCCGAACACACCAGAACAAGCCAGGACCACCCTGGCCTACAGGATGAGGATGGGACAGCCGCAGCAACCCCTCAGTCAATGCTGATGCCTTCAGAGGCAGCCCTGCACATTCTAATCCAGTGTCTCATTCGATTCTCAACCCCCTTGTAGAGATGAGAAAACAGAGACCCAGCTAGAGACCCAGCTCAAGGTCACCTGACCTGTAAATGGCGGCCTTGAGATCAACCCCGGCTCTGCTGGCCTCCAGCATAGGTCAGAGGTCCTGCCTGCACCTCCCCGTCTCCCCCAGTCCACTCCTGGCTTCTCAAGGGGCTCTAAGAAAATACCCTCACACACACCAAGGCCCCGCTCTCTGCCTGGGCCCACTGCCCAACTCAAGAAGTCACAAGAAAGACCAAGCCCAAAGTGTACCTTGCCTCAGTTTCCCTGGCTGTATGGGTGGATGAGATGAAGGGCTGGGGCTAGGCTGGGCGACAGGGTGTCTCCTTCCTGGGGCCAGCAGCGAGCCCAGCAGGAGGAGTAGGACAGTGTCGCAACAGGACACAAACAGGCCAGAACAACCCCCAGGGACACAGCCTCAGGAGGAGTTCAAGACAGGAGAAAGGCAGGACCTCACATCAGAGGAAAAGATGAGACTGTTCATTAATAATGTCCCTGAACAACCGGCTGGCCACCTGAGAAAAGACACCATGGCTCACACCACAACCAGGAGAAATCTCAAGTAGAGGAAAAGTTTGTATATAAGAAATAAAGGTGTGGGTGTGAGTTGGCACAGCCCCTGTGCACCTCTTGGGTGAAGCTGAACATAAACAAACGCTCGCCCAAGCAACCCCACTCCTGAGTGTACATCCTTCAGAAACACGTGTGCACCAGGGGGACAGGACAAGGATGGACACAGGAGCAAACAGCCCAAGTGCTCAGCAGCAGAAGAACAGGAACAGTGGCGCAGTCACCAGGGAATCCCAGGCGGCAGTGAAGAGGAAAGGATGCCTGCTTCACACAATGACCCTGGTCCCAGGGGTGCACTCCTCACAGCAGCCAGAGGGTGGAAACAACAAACATCTGTCACAGATGCAAGGATGAATGGAATGCAGTGCCTCCATGCGGCGGAATATTATTCAGCAATAAAGAGGAATAAAGTACCGATACACGCTACGACACGAGTGCACCTTGAAAACATTCTACCCGAGGCCAGGCACAGTGGCTCACGCCCGTAATCCCAATACTTTGGGAGGCTGAGGCGGGTGGATCACAAGGTCAGGAGTCCGAGACCAGCCCAGCCAAGGTGGTGAAACCCTGTCTGTACCAAAAATACAAAAATTAGCCGGGCGCAGTGGCAGGCATCTGTAATCCCAGCTACTTGGGAGGCTGAGGCAGGAGAATCACTTGAACCCAGGAGGCGGAGGTTGCAGTGAGCCGAGATTGTGCCATTGCACGCTAGCCTGGGTGACGGAGTGAAACTCCAGCTCAAAAAAAAAAAAAAAAAAAAAAAAAAGAAGAGTGCAAGCACAGTTCTACTTGTTTCCATATCAAAACAGGCAACAAGACTGGACAATACAGATTTAAACACGAAAGAAAGGAAAAAGATTAAATGTCAGACGGTGGTTCCCAGGGAGGGACACCTTAGGCCATGCAGGTATTCTATACGTATTCTTTGCATCCACTCAACGTTTAATAAGAAATAACAATGAAATGTTAGAAGAAGGGAGAATTGCCTTATAGCCTTGGGGTTAGGCAAAGCTTTTATTTTTATCCCTGATTCAAAATCCTAAAGCCATTTAAAAAAAAAAAAAAAAAGCTCCTTCCTCTCCAAAAAAAAAAGAATCCCTTCTGCATGGCAAAAACACCGGAAATAAAGTCCTAAGAGACATACTCACTTGCAATTCTTATCACAGGCAAAGAGCTAATATGTAATGAGCTCCTACAAATCAGTCAGAAAAAGACTCAGCAGAAAATAGGCCAAAGGATTTGAAACACACACTTCACAGAGAAAGAAATCATTAATAGAAAAGCCTTACTCATAGGGAAAGATGCCCAACCTCCTTGTAAGAGAAATGCAAATTAATATGATCGTGAAAGACCATGTTTCACCTAGGATTGTCAAAAGTCTTACGAGATAACACACCTGTCTGTCGGCAAGACTGTGGGGGCGCTGAGCACTCCTCCCAGGTGGTGGAGGCGTCAACTGCTGAGTCGCCACTGGAGGGGGATTTGACGCTACTCAGCCCTGACCAGCAACCCCGCTTCTGGGAGTTTACCTGACATCCTAGCACGGTGCAAAACAAGGCGGGGACAAGGCTGTCGGCTGCAGGCTGTTTGGAACAGCAGAAGCTTGGAAACAACCCAAATGTCCCTCCTGAGGGGGCTGATTAAATAAAGAATAGCCCATCCATAAAACAGAATACAATGGAAAAAGAACCAGGAAGCTCTCTCTGCACACAAGTGGAAAGATCTCCAAGATACAGGAAGTGAAAAAGCAAAGCACAGAACAGTGTATATTCCACACTCTCATTTCAGTTTTCTTTAAAAAGGTGGGGAACTAAGTATCTGTGTTTGGCTCTAGCTACATAAAGAAACACTGAACAGAAACATGACTGTACAGGGCTAAGTGGGTCAGGGAGGAAGGGGTGGGGGACGCTTCACTGGATACTGTGTTATAAGTTGCAATTTCTTTCAACACCTTTATTGAGATGTAATTCAGATAACTCTCCAATTGAGTCACTCAAAGTGTGCGACTCACCGTTTTTAGTATATTCACAAGCTTGCGCAGCCATTACCACAATCAATTTTAGAACACAGGCCGGGCGCGGTGGCTCACGCCTGTAATCCCAGCACTTTGAGAGGCCGAGGCAGGCGGATCACAAGGTCAAGAGATCAAGACCATCCTGGCCAACATGGTGAAACCCCATCTCCATTAAAAGTACAAAAATTAGCTGGGCGTAGTGGCGCACGCCTGTAATCCCAGCTACTCGGCAGGCTGAGGCAGGAGAATTGCTTGAACCCAGGAGGCAGAGGTTGCAGTGAGCCGAGATTGTGCCACTGCACTCCAGCCTGGCGACAGAGCAAGACTCCATCTCAAAAAAAAAAAAAAAAAAATTAAAAATTAGAACACAGCATCTTCTTATCAGCTGATACCTTCGTATCAGCATCTGCTGTGGGTTCCGCATCTGCCGATTCAACCATGGATCAAAAATACGTGGGGGGAGAAAATAAAAAATAACAACACAACAATAAGAAATAGGTTGGGTGCAGTGATGCACAACTGTAGTACTACCACTTTGGGAGGCTGAGGAGGATTACTTGAGTCCAGCGGTTCGAGACCAGCCTAAGCAACATAGTGAGACCCTATCTCTACAAAAAATACAAATATTAGCCAGGCGTGGTAGCACGTGCCTGTGGTCCCAGCTACCTGGGAGGCTGAGGCAGGAGGACTGCTTGAACCTAGTAAGTCAAGGTTGCGGTGAGCTATGATCACACCACCACACTCCAGCCTGGGTGACAGAGCAAGACCATGTCTCAAAAATAAATAGGTAAATAATATAAAAATTAAAAATACAGTACAATAACTATTTACATAGCATTTACATTGTATTAGGTATTATAAGTGATCTAGAGATGATTTAAAGTATATGGAGAAGGCCAGGTGCCAGCATTTTGGGAGGCTGAGGCAGGCGGATCACCAGGCAAGGAGTTCCAGACCAGCCTGACCACCATGATGAAACCCCATCTCTACTAAAAATACAAAAATTAGCCAAGGTGCTCCCGTGGGAGCGCCTGTAATCCCAGCTCTCAGGAGGCTGAGGTAGGAGAATCTCTTGAACCTGGGAGGCGGAGGTTGCAGTGAGCCGAGATCACACAACTGCACTCCAGCCTGGCGACACAGCGAGACTCCGTCTCAAAACAAAAAAAAGTATACAGAGGATGCGCGTAGCTTATATACAAATACTACAGCTTTTTATATCAGGAACTTGAGAATCAGAGGATTCTGGTATCTGAGGGGGATCCTGGAACCTATTCCCCACAGGTACCGAAGGTGGAGGGCTGTATTTTCTTTTTCTTTTTGAGACAGGGTCTCAATCTGCCACCCAGGCTGGACTGTAGTGGCACTAACACAGCTCACTGCAGCCTCAACCTCTGGGGCGCAAGTGAGCCTCCCACTTCAGCCTCTCGAGTAGCTGGACTACAGGCGCAAGCCACCACACCTGGCTAATTTTTGTATTTTTTGTAGACAGGGTTTGCCATCTCTAGGCTGGTCTCCAACTCCTGGGCTCAAGTGATTCACCTGCCTCAGCCTCCCAATGTGCAGGAATTACAGGCATGAGCCACTGTGCCTGGCCCAGGAGGGCTGTATTTTCATCACCCTGAAAACACCTGTAGCCTTTAGTGGGGTAAGGTCCTATCTCCTCGCTCCATCCCCTGCCCCCCAACTAATCTACATTCTGTCTCTATGGATTTGTCTTTTCTGGACATTTCACAGAAATAGAATCAAACAGAATCATACAACGTGATTTTTTGTGACTGGCTTCTTTCACTTAACACATTTTTGTGTTTTGATTTTTGAGTATTTGGATTTTTAATAAAAGAAAAAGAAAAACAGAATGAATAACTCAATCTAGCCAGCAACAGGAATGAAAGTACTTTGCAAACTGTAAAGAGCTTTTGACACATCAATGCTCGTCACTGGGATGAGCCACACAGGTTTCCAGGGGACAGTGAGGATCCTTAGAGTCCCCTGGCCATGCTCCATTTCCCCATGAGCAGAGAGGCAGGAGAGTGCAGCGGTTGAAGTGTGAGTTTCAGAGCCAACCTACTAGAGCCCAAATCCTGACTCGGACATCCCCTGGCCAGGGGTCGTCGGACAAGGCACTTCACCCCTCTGAGCCCCAGGTACCTCATGTGTAAACCGATGACACTATCTGGCTCATTGGGATGTTCTGACAGACAAACATGCTTACAAGAGTGCCTGGCACACAGTCAATGCTCCATGATGTTCGGCTTGGTGGGAAGTGCAGCCCCTAGGCTAGAGATGAGCCGGTGTCCACCCAGTGGGAGGAGGGGAAGAGGGAATAAGCCATGCTATGAGGAAAGGAGAGCCTCCGGGAGGGCAGGCTGCAAGGGCTCCTGGCTCCCAAACAGGACTGTACTGGACAGACAAGAGAGGTCACGGCACAAGCAGAGGCCCAACAGCAGCAGGTGCAGCGGGAACCATGGGGTGGCAGAAAAAGACAGTGGAAGAGGTGGGCAGGGAAGAGATCTGAAGGGTCTTGAATGGCCGGCTAAGATCCTGGCCTTCAGCCTGAGGCACCAAGGGCCATGTTCAGGTGTGTGATCACAGGATCTCTCAACCGTGGCACTACTGACACTGGAGCTGGAGAATTCCTGGTTGTGGGGCTGCCCTGGGCACTGCACAGTCTAACAGCACCCATGACTTCTACCCACTAGATGCCAGGGCACCCCTTTCCCCCTGAATTGTAACAACCAAAAGGTCTCCAGATCTTGACATATGTCTCCTGGGGGACAAAAATCACCCTGTTGAGGCTACCTGGTGGATACGAAAGGGCTGGAGGAGGCTAGAGGGGTAGTGGAAGGCCTGGGAAGGCCACTACAGAGACCAGGCAAGAGCTGACGGTGGCCCTGCCTGGGCAGGGTGCAGAAACTGATTGACACTTTGGAGGCAGGGCCTGCAGCACTTGGTGATTCGGCAGATGTGTGCAGGGAGGAGAGGTGCTGGGGAGGTAGTGGTAGACAGGGCCCTCTTCCCCTCGAGCCCTTACTCCACTCTTCGAGTACTACTGTTTGTATTTCTTTTTTCTTTTTTTTTTGAGACAGCTTCACTTTGTCGCCTGGGCTGGAGTGCAGTGGCATGATCTCGGCTCACTGCAACTTCTGCCTCCCGGGTTCAAGCGATTCTCATGCCTCAGCCTCCCGAGTAACTGGGATTACAAGCAGACACCACCACGCCTGGCTAATTTTTGTATTATTAGTAGAGATGGGGTTTCACCATGTTGGCCGGGCTGGTCTCAAACTCCTGACCTCAAATGATCTGCCCGCCTTGGTCTCCCAAGTGCTGGGATTACAGGCGTGAGCCACTGTGCCTGGCCTACTGTTTGCATTTCTGTTTGACATGTGGAAAAACAGACACCAAAGGTCAAATGATCATATGCTACAAACTTCCCAGGGACAGGGACCCAAGCTGCTAGGCAAAGCCTCTGACCCCCGCAAGTGCTGGAAACCTGCCAGAGCTGCCTCCCCCTGCAGCAGGTCCTGCCACCAATGAGTTCCTTGGTGGCCTCTAAATTCTATCAGGAAGCCGCCAGGCTTTTCTCTGAGCTCCCTTAATTCTTACAACCGCTAAGCTGAGGTTCAGAAACGTTAGGTAACTGGCCTAAGGTCTGACAGAACTGGATGGGGCACAGCCAGAATTTGAAACTTAGTCCCCAAAGTCCCTGTGTTTTTTCTCCACTCAAACTCCAGGTGAGGCTTCCTGGCAGAGGCTGTGTCTGGGAGCCGGCTGAGCATAGATGCAGGGGTGCCCCACATGCGAAGGCCTAGAAGCTAGAACTGCCCGATTTCAGGAACAGAAGATGCCCCATGAGTCAGACACAGTGGAGGGAATGCCAGTTCCCAAAACAAACTTGGACACAGAAAAGGGCTTGGACTTGGCTGGCCCTAGAGGGGCTGGGAACTTGGCAAGTTCCAGGTGGCCACGGGCGTGGCCAGCCTCACACGGGGGCCTACTTGACACCTACACAGACACATGGACACAATCGGGGACATGGGTGGACTGGAGGACAGGGGATGAAGCCCACCGTCCCGGCAGCAGCAGCGGCGGCAACCTCAGTTCCCACCCATCAGAGGCCTGGAGTATTTCCCACACTAACTCTCACCCCTGGAACCACCTGTCAGCGAACAACACTGTTCGCCACCCCTTTCAGAGCTGAGGACCAGAGACTCTAAGAGGTCTAGAGAGTTCCCCAGGATGCAAGTCTAGCAAATGGGCCCAGATTTGGCCACCTCTGGACCCTGCATGGGCAACAGCAGTGCCTTAACAAAGCAGGCCCCACTCTCTTGGCTGACCCCTTATGATGCAGAGGGAGAAGGGGCAGAAGCCACATCCATAGTGTGCTGGCCCTCGGGTGATCCTGGAAAGCAGGGCTTGGAGGACGCATCCAGCCCCACCGGCAGAGGCCATCTGGAGTCAGGCCCTGGCAGAGCACTGGGGATAAGAATGTGGCCAGAGTGTTGAATAAATGGAGCCAGCAAGGCTGGCCGGGGACGCCCTACAATCACCACTGTCCCCAAACCAACAAGACAGGGGCCCAGGAGGGTGCTGGCAGGATGGTGAGTCAGGGCAGGGTCCCCTGAGGCCCTTGCACCAGTGAAGATGGGAGAGTCAGGAGTCTGACTCGCCTCCCCAGACTCAGACCCAGAGGACCCAGACCCTTCGAAATCAACTCCGAACTAGAAACTAAGACCAATGGTGGGGGCGCAGCGCACAGCACTACTGCTGGGCCCAGCACACGTGGGTATTTTACACGCCACGACCTCATTACTTTGCACGACCCCATTTTGCAGATGGGGAAGCCAAGGATGGACAAGGTCATCACCTGCTCAAGCGCATACAGCTCACAAAAGGAAGAACCAGCACCCAAACCTAGGTCGAATTTACTCTAGAGCCAGTACAAAGAGGAGTAAATCTGTACTTAGTTTTTAAAATGAATGAGATGACTATGCAGATAAACAGGAAGTCCTGTCCCCAGGGAGGTCCCACCACACAAGATTCTGGATTTTCTGAGTGATCTTGGGCTGTCCCCGCTCCAGCCATGGGCCTGTCTCCTGTCTGCAAAAAGAGCGACGGGACCTGGGATGGGCGCTGTCTAGGAACAAGTCTGTGCCAAGAGCTGTCTCCATGCCCTTTGACCTCCAGCCAGTGGCTCCAGACTTCAGTGCTCAGCCCAACAGCTTCAATAATACGAGGGTCCTTTACACCCACTCCAATTTCACAAACAGTAAGGAGCTGGGTACACTCATTTCAGATGAGAAGACTGAGGCTCAGAATGATATGGTGACTTACTCCAGGTCACACAGCAAATGAGGAACACGCTGGGGATCTGAACCTGGACTGGCCCCCACATCTCAGCCCTTTTCTTTCCTTCTTTTTTTTTTTTTTTTGATGGAGTCTTGCTTTGTCGCCCAGGCTGGAGTGCAATGACACGATCTCAGCTCACTGCAACCTCCACCTCCCAGATTCAAGCCATTCTTCCGCCTCAGCCTCCAGAGTACCTGGGATACAGGCATGTGCCACCACACCCAGCTAATTTTTGTATCTTTAGTAGAGACAGCGTTTCACCATGTTGGCCAGGCTGGTCTCGAACTCCTGACCTCAAGTGATCTGCCCGCCTCGGCCTCCCAAAGTGCTGGGATTACAGGTGTGAGCCATATCTCCTGGCCTCCTTTTTTTTGAGACATGGTCTCACTCTGACACCCACGCTGGAGTGTGATCTCAGCTCACTGTAGCCTCAACCTCCATGGCTCAGGTGATTCTCCCACCTCAGCCTCCTGAGTAGCTGAGATTACAGGCGCGTGCCGCCATGCCCAGCTACTTTTTATATTTTTCTTGTAGAGATGGGGTCTCACCATGTTGCCCAAGTTGGTTTCGAACTCCTGGACTCCAGCAATCTGTCTGTCTTGGCTTCCCAAAGTGCTGGCGTTACAGGTGTGAGCCACCGCACCTGGCCATCCCGGCATTTTTCTATTCTGCTGTGAGGCTACTGTGCATGTCTGTGCATGTCACAATCCCCATTTTCTCATTGGTTTGCTTGACTAGCCTTCAGTGAACACCCACTGCGCTGGGCACTAGCAGATATTACCAAATGCCTGCCTCCCCGGGAGTAGCTTGGGGTCGCAGAGAAAAACCTTTAAACCAGCTGCACCACACACTCTCCCTCCCTCTGAGCTCCAGGGTGTCCATAGGGGAGGCTCATCTACTAAGCACTCAGCAATGAACTGCACATCTGGCTGGCACTTTAGAGTTTACAAAATACTTTCCCATCTGTCATTTCATCTCTGCCTTGGAACAGTTCTTGGTCAGTCAGGCAGCATTATCACAAACTACAGATGGGGACACTGAGGCACAGAGGAGCTGCATGACCTTCCCACAGCCACACAAAGCCACGTCTAGAACGCAGAGCTAGACGTCTAACGTCTCCCTCGGCATGTTCTGTCTTCCACGCTCTCACTCATGTGGAGGGCTGTGGGCATACAGGCTGCTTCTGCCAGTTTTCTAGAGCGGTCTTGGGAGGCCAACTTGACCATCTGTGCCTCAGTTTCCTGATGTGCCAAACAAATAATCTGGTACTATCTCTAGGGGCTGCAGAAAGTACCCTGCAAGGAAGTGGTCAGGGAACTCCCAGTCTCCGTCCCCGTCTCCATTGAGGCTTCCTTAGCACATTTCATACTCCAAGGAACCCTAACCATGGGGTAACAGAAACCCCGAAGTTCTGAGCTGATGGACACGACACACAGACTTGGTGTTCTCTGCACTGGACAGAGCTGATTTTCATTTTCCAAGGAGGGTAACCAAGGCACAGAGGTGTGTCTAGCCTGCTTCTGAGGGTGCAGGGACAGGAATGAGGATAACTCGTAGAAGGGCTGGCCACCTCACTCCAGCAACTTCAAGCCTCCACCCGCTAATCCACAAGCACCAACACTAAATACCTTCCCTTTGGACCAATAAGCACAAAGGAAGGGCCAAGACTCATGACCGTGCCCCTCAGAAGTGGCACTGAAAGGCGCAAGCCTCATTTCTCCCAGGCCAAGGGGAGGACTGAGAGGTCAGTGATTTGTTTAAAATGCAACATCACAGCATACTCATACTTTCAACAGGAAGCACATCCGGAGAGAAAAAGAGAGAGAGAGAACTCCCTAATGAGGAGACCGCATCCCCCCACCCCACCCCCGAGGTTACAGGGGAGCCTGCGTCATCCCAAAGCCTGCCTGGGCTGGGTTCCAGGAGGCCAGGACATAGAGAGGGGGGCCTGGCTAGGGGTCCAGCAGCAACCCAAGTCCCTTCTATCTACCAATATCCTTCTCCCAGGAAGCAGGGGAGAGGATGTGAACCCCGCCTGGGTTTTCCCACACCCAGCTGGTGACCCAGCTGACCCGGGACACTGAGGCACAAAAGAACCGCATGACTCCTGCAGAAACTGGAGCTAAAAATACCCTCCAGTGCCCAGCCTGGCCTGCGAGAGGAGCCCCCTGGCCTGCCTCCCGGCAACCTGCTGCTTCCTTCCCCATCTGGGATGGCCCTGGGGCAAATCATGCCCCTGGAGCCACATTCTGACTTCAGATCCCCAAATCCTGGGGTCTTTCCTCCTCTTGGTCCCATGGGCTGGCCCCAGGGGCTCCAGCTGGAGCTAGGAACACTTACCCAGGTAGATATCTCCGAAGGACCCGCTCCCGATCTTCCGTCCCAGGCGGTACTTGTTCCCCACACGTAGCTCCATGGCTCACTCTTGCTGCAGAGGAAGCAGGAACATGAGGGTCAGCGACGTGGGGAGCCGGGAAAGGGGTCCAGTCCACCAAGGCCAGGCAGAGCCACCAGGAACTCGAAAACCTGCATTCTCGAAGACCACATTCTGCAGGTGTCAGGTGGCCCACAGCCTGCACTCCACACACCTGGGGAACAGCTAAGGCAGGCTGAGGACAGGTTTCAGTGTGGCCAGAGAGGAAGCAGCCAAGCAAGCATGTCTTTGGGGGATGCTCATTCAGGGGCCCCTCAAAAGAAGCTTCTCAAGGGATCACAACGGGCATCAGCCCTCTTACACCTCCTACCCCCCAGGCTCCCACAGCCTGGCCTGGTCTTCCCAAGTACTGCCCCTGCCCAGAGGCCAGACCTCGCCAGTGCCCAGCACGCCTTGCAGGAGAAAGTCGCATCCCCTACTGGGGGGAAGGCAGAAAAGAATGCCCTCGACCATCCACCTTCCAGCCACCTCCCCATCTCTACGTCATGACACCAAGACCTCACACGGAGGCCCATAGCCGCTTGGATAAACTGTTTGGAGCTGGCGTCCTTTAAGACTAGGAGGGTCTCCTAAGAGGGCCCTCATAGAACAACAAAGGGGACTGAGCCAGGGTTTTAGCCGCCTGCCCCGGATGGGTGGGAGGAGGAGTTCTGATGTGAGCAGCTTCTCTCCTTCCTCAGGGCCAGGGGGGAGCCCTCTGCTCTGGCCTGGGGCAGAGGAGGGACCCCTCTGCTCTGGCCTGGGGCAAAAGTCCGGACACCCTGTTCCTGGTCAGCAGAGGAGGAAACTGAAGGCCTGGAGGCAGTGCTGCCGTGGGGACAGGGACCAGGGACTGCAGTAAACAGGGGGAGGGGTGTTTACAAGAGGACCAGCATCAAGGACTAGCAAGAGGGAACTCCTTTCACAGACAGGGTACTCAGGCTCACAGAGGCCATGCCACCTGTCCCACACCACCCTGCAGATGGTACAGCCTCGCCGAGGACAGGGCTCCGGCTGTCCCACCTGGTGGTCTCCCACACTCACAAACAGGGCAAAACAGGAAGACTGCAGAGCAGCTGTGCTGGCACAGAAGATCAGCCCCTTGCCCGTGCCAAGTGCTGCCCCCAACAACCAGGCCAGCCTGGGAGGGAGATGGATTCCAGGGACAGTGGGCAGATCCCAGGAGAGACAGGGAACCCCGGCACCTGGCTCCCAAGGAGCTCACCAGCCCTCCACCAATAACCACGAGGCAGGGACCTCCACCAGAGCTGGCCAAACTCTGGGCTCTCAATCAAGGGCCGCTGCCCATATGCTTGGCCTGTCTCAGCTGAGGTGCCACGCTGCCAGGGGAACACAGTCCACGTTTGCAGGAAACCCACACGCCACACATCCCACGTACACACACGTCCAGCTTCCCGAGTGTGTACACTCCAACGGAAGAAAGAAAAGCAGGCACACACAGTGAGCCCTGTTGGGGGGTAAGGGGGGGTGTGCACGCAACCCCCCCCCAACACCTCAGTCCACTTTCTGCCAACACCAATTCAGAGACCACACATGGCAGCCAGGAAACCCGCAGGTTAGGAAAGGAACATAAATATACCCGCATCCTATATTACATAAATACCCACGCCGGGTTATATAAATACCCGTGCCCTCTGTCTGGGTGTCTTACATAAATATACTGCACATGACCCCCCAGTCTCTCCCCACTCACCGGCTGTCTGCAGAGAACGAGAGCGGGAAGGGGCAAGCCCTTCAGGACCCCCTGACTGCTATGTGCCAGCCACCCAGACCCCCAGTCGCTCCCCAACACCCCAGGGGTCCAAGGTCCCTGGGGGAGCCTAGACTGTCCCGGCACCAATACCCAAAAAGCCTCCCAGAGGAGAGCAGAAAAGCTTCATTCAGGAATGGAGAGGCTTTTCAGTTCTTTTGCTGCTTCTCCCATGGGGGAGGGGGGGAGATAAACAAAGTGGGGGGAAAAGTGGATATAAAGGTTCAAGAGTTTCAGCAGGTTAAAAAAATTAGACAAACTACCAACCAGCATGGCACACGGGCAGTGCTTCTTACTCCCCGAACACCATCGCCTACCCCTGAGCCGGGGCCCTTGTCCCTCGGACGATTAAAATAAAAATTGAAGGGACATCATAGAAACGAAGGCAAAGGAGACCCAAACACAGGCATTGCTTGGAAGCAACTTGAGACACTTGTGTCCCCTTCTCCTCTCTCCAAATCCTTCTCCAGGAAGGAGGCTATGCCAGGAAGAAAATATGCAAGAAAACTAAGGGAAAAGTTGGGGAGGGGGCTCACCCCACTTCGAGTTAGGGTATTAACAAGAGCTTGGGAATCCTCTAACGACACCCAGACACTGTTTTGCGTTCCTTAGAGACTTGCAAGACATCAATCTCTCACACAAAAATGGGAGAATCCGATCCGACAAATAACCCCCACCCCTTTCTTTCTCTCCACAAAGAAAAACAAATCAGTGGCCTGGTGACCACACACCTCTTCACCTTAGGACCCCCAAACGCCCGTCATCCAACGAGCGGGCGCAGCCTTGCGAACCCCCAGGTCCGGGCGCCGGGGCCGGGAGAGCAGGGGGCGCCGGTGATTGTCCGATGAAACGCTACGCGGGCCCGAATCAACAGTATCCGGCGCCCAGCACCCCAAGCCCCCTCCCTCAGCGTCCCCAAATCACAGCCGGGGTGGCCGCCTGGCCGGCCGGGGCCTCGGAGGGCCCAGCGGGGGGAAGCGGAGGCAGGCCGGCCGGGGGGCCTCCCCCGCGAGCCTGCAAAATAACAGGCCCCCTCCTCCTCGTCCCCAGCCGCGCCTTTGTCCTCGCCGGGCCGAGCGGGCGGCGCCCGGGCTGCCCCCCCTACACCCCAGCGCGAACGCGCGTGTGTCTGCCCTCCCTTCCCTCCCTCTCCAGCAAAAACAAAGAGGCTGAGGGAGCCCGATTCCCCCCAGGTTTGCACCCTTCCGCGGGCCCGCGGCCCCCCGATATTTACCCCGCCGGGAAGGCGCCGATGCCGGGCCACTGCTCGGGGGGCTGCCGCGGGCGGGGGCGGCCCGCCGGGGCGGATGCCGGAGGATTCGCGGAGCCGCCCGGCGCGCCAGCCTCTCCCGGCCCAGCCGCCGCCGCCGCCGCCGCCGCCGCGCTCCGCTCGGCCCCGGCCGGGCTCTGGCTCTGGGCTCTCGCCGCCGCCGCCGCCGCCGCCGCCGCCTCCCTCCTCCCGGCCTCCTGCCCGCCCGCCCGCCCCCGCCGCCGGCTCGCGCGCTCTCGCACCGCGCGCGCCCGCCGGCTCCCATTGAGCCCCGGGCCCGCCCGCTGATGTCATCCCCGGCCCGCCGCCGCCGCCCCGGAGGATTTAAAGGGCCCGCGCCCTCCGCGCTGGGGGCCGCAGCTGCGAGACGCAGTTCCCCAGCCTCAGTGCAGGCGCGCGGGCTTACGCGTGGGGGTGGGGGAGCACACAGATACTGACACCCTAATGCAGTCCAGGGCACAGGTGGAAAAGACGGGGTGCGGGGGGGACAGAGGGAAGAGGAGGGCGCACAAAAAGCGGAGGTGAGGGGATGGGAGGGGAGGGTCTAGACCCAAAGTCTCCTCTCCCCGCCTGCCAGGATCTCTCTCCTCTCCAGGCAGAGCACTGGGCCCCTGCGAAAACAGGCGGCTATTCACGACACTGCAAAAGATGTTAGACTGCTGGAGGCTCAGTCCGCCTCCAGGTTCCGAGTGCCGCAGAGAACACAGGCCAGGTTGATTCAGGGCAAGAGATTTGAGGAGACAGCTAGGGATGTCGACACAAGGCCCAGAAAGGTAGCCTGGGCTCATACATTCTCCTCCCGTGGAAAAACGAAGGGCAAAGACCTCTTCTTCTTTTCCCTGAAGCTCAAACTGTGATGGGCACAGAGAGGACCCCTCAGATCCCAACCTCATTCTCCCCTGTTGAAGGAGGGGTGCCACAAGTACCAAAGCACCGACACTTGAGTCTGGGCTCCGAGTGGTGCACGTTTAGCCAAGCCACCTCCCAGCTCTGAGCTTGGGTTTCCTTAAACAGCAAATGGGAGGAAGGACCCTGTCCTCCCCAGGTCACAGAATTAATAAAAGCTTCTACCGGCATGCAGAGCCGCGATGAAAGGTTGCAGAACAAAGTCATTAAAGTGATGATATTTACACTGAGCCATGCAAAGCTTCCAATTATGACACACCTATATTCACACAGTTGTGACTGTGGACACGCAAAATGCCTGAGGCCCTGCGTCCAATCCCGGAAGCACAGTTCCTGGGAGGAGTCACTTCTATAATAGCCGTATCTTCCCTCCTCGAGGCTGAGGGACTGAGTCACACACGTGTCCAAACGGGCAGGAGCCCCACAGACTAAGTCCTTTCGCCGGCCAGGAAACTGGCCCAGAGAGGGGAAGGGCTTTGCCCAGGACCACAAAGCCCAACAGGACAGCTCTGTTCTCCCAGCGATCACCAGGAAACTGGGTCTATCTAGAGCCCATTTCCAAGAGCAGGAGAGTGAGAAGCCTCCTCCCAGGAGGGCCTGCCTTCAGTGACACCTTTGCCAGAGCAGGGGGTCACCAGCCAGGTGGTGGGCTTTACTTGGCCTGCGCGGTGCTTTCTGTTGTTGTTTTGTTAATTAATCCCCAAAGTTTTTTTTTTTTTTTTTGCTTTTTGTTTTTGTTGGTTTTGAGATAGAGTCTCGCTGTGTGGCTCAGGCTGGAGTGCAGTGGCTCAATATCGGCTCACTGCAACCTCTGCCTCCTGGGTTCAAGTGATTCTCCAGCCTCAGCCTCCCTCCTGAATAGCTGGAATTACAGATGTGCACCACCACACCTGGCTAATTTTTGCCCAGGACCACACAGTATTTTTAGTAGAGACGGGGTTGGCCAGGCTGGGCTGGAACTCCTGACCTCAAGTGATCCGCCTGCCTCGGCCTCCCAAACTGCTGGGATTATAGGCGTGAGCCACCATGCCTGGCCACTCCCCAAAGTTTTAAAACTGGAAGATTTCATATTTCAGATCCAGATTCCCTGTTTCTCTGGGGGCATTAGGAGATCCGGTAACTCTGGGCCCAAGTTCTCAGCCGGCCTGAGCGCCACCCCACCGCCACCCATTTTGTTTCTTTCCTCACATGAGCCCAGGCAGAGAGGCCTGGGCACAATTGAGCAGGGGGTGAAGTCTGCCCCTGTGTCCTCCAGTCCTTACCACCCCTAACCTTCCAACCTGGGCCCTGCTTCCCAAAGCCCTCCTCTTCTTCAGCACTTTCAAGGCAACCAGCCCTGGGAGAGGAGGTTATTTGTTATCTCATTTAATCCTCTCAAACAACAACAGATTACACTGTATTCTTTCAGAGAAGGAATCAGGCTCCTCCCAGTGCTTGCCTAAGGGCACAGATCAACCTCTCCCTTAAACTGGGCCTGGCTGGAACAGACCCCCTGCCCCTTCCTAACCCAGCCAGATCGCCAGGTCTGACTGCAGCACGTTCACGTTCTCCCCTCTGCATTCAGGACTTGTAACCACACCTCCCACCCCAGCACCCCCACCCCACCCCCTGCCCCAGTTAAGATCCTGCTCAGTTCCCTGGGCCAGCCAGGCTGAGGAGCCCGGCTCATCCCCAGGCCTGCTAGGGAGCCTCCCTGCCTTGCCATTGGAAGGACATGCTGTTGTCCACTGCCTGAGTTGTGGGCCCAAGTCCTTGTCCTTCCTATCCCTGGAAGACCTGTGTGTGGGCCCTTCCAAAGAGCTTTGCAGTGAAGCTATAAGGGAAGGCAAACCATGACACAAAACCCAGCTGAGGAGGGGAGACTGGTCCAAAGTGAAAAACAAAACCTTACGTGTTCCAGCAGCCCCACAGCCTGACTTCTCTCTCCGACTTGGTTCACAGTGATTCCTCTCAGATTTAACTCCTAACTTTAAAACCCAACGGTGGGGCCGGGCACGCCCCTGTAATCCCAGCACTTCAGAGGCCAAGGCGGGTGATCACCTGAGGTCAGGAGTTCAAGACCAGCCTGGCCAACACGGTGAAACCCCGTTTCTACTAAAAATACAAAAAATTAGCTGGGCACGATGGCGGGCACCTGTAATCCCAGCCACTCGGGAGGCTGAGGCAGGAGAATCACTTGAACCCAGGAGGCGGAGGTTGCAGTGAGCCGAGATCGTACCATTGCACTCTAGCTTGGGCGACAGAGCGAGACTCCGTCTCAAAAAAATAAATAAAAAACAAAACAAAACAAAAAACCCAAGGGTGTGGCAAAGTTCCCCTAGCTACCTTCTCTGCAAGCCAACAAGAAGATGAAATCAGGCTAGAATAGGTGTGGGGTGAATTGCCAGCTCCCAAGGGGCCCACCCTGGGTTTCAGCTGCTCTGCATTGGTTCAGGAATAGTGGCTCTCACAACACCTTTCCAAACTGGCTTTTGTCTTTTTTTTAGAGGCTCATTCTGTCACCCAGGCTGGAGTGCAGTGGCAGGATCATACCTCGCTGTAGCCTCAAATTCCTGGGCTCAAGCGATCCTCCTGCCTCAGCCTTCCAAGTAGCTGGGACTACAGGCATGCACCACCACACCCAGCTAATTTTTAAATTTTTTATAGAGATGGGGTCTTACTGTGTTGCCCAGACTGGTCTGAAACTCCTGGGCTCAAGTGACCCTTCTGCCTCGCCCTCCCAAAGTGCTGTGATTACAAGTGTGAGCCACTGTGTTCCCAAACTGACATTTTTTACCTGCTCCCTATTTCAGACCCTTCAAGATCACTTGGCACGCAGGAGCACTGGGCTGGGATCCCAAGGACAGCCCTGGAATTCCCAGATAATGACGATATGGCTGCAGATAAACCCAGAAAGATTTCAGTACCTGCCCCAGGAATCTCAGTCTTGACTAAGGACTCATAGATTTACTAAACATCAAGGGCTGGCCTGAAAACGGCCCTCCAGGATCTGTCCTCCACTCCCCGCACCTGGCTCTCCTGACCTCAGCTCCTGTAAGTTTTCTTCTTGCTCACAGCCCTGTAGCCTCACTGGCCTCCCATGGAATGAACCTCTGGCCTCAGGGCCTTGGCAGGGGCTGTTTCCACTGCCTGGTGCGCTCTTCCCGCAGAGCACCAACCCCCCTCACCTCTCACCTTTCTCAAGTCCCCTTCAGAGGTAGGCCCTCCTGGTCTCCCAGTTTATTTATTTATTTATTTTTTGAGACAGAGTCTGGCTCTGTCTCCCAGGCTGGAATGCAGTGGCCCGATCTCGGCTCACTGCAACCTCCGCCTCCCGGGTTCAAGCAATTCTCCTGCCTCAGCCTCCAGAGTAGCTGGGATTACAGGCGTCCACCACCATACCTGGCTAATTTTTGTATTTTTAGTAGAGATGGAGGTGTCACCATGTTACCCAGGCTGGTCTTAAACTCCTGACCTCAGGTGATCCGTCCGCCTCAGCCTCCCAAAAAGCTGGGATTACAGGTGTGAGCCACCACGTCTGGGCCCAGTCTCCCAATTTAAAATCCTGGCGCTGGGCCACAGGCGGTGCCTCACACCTGTAATCCCAGAACTTTGGGAGGCAGAGGCAGGCGTTGCTTGAGCTCAGGAGTTTGAGACCAGCCTGGATAACATGGCGAAATGCTCTCTCTACAAAAAATACAAAAATTAGCTGAGCATGGTGGCTGGGTGTGGTGGTGCATGCCTGTAGTCCCAGCTACTTGGGAGGTTGAGGTGGGAGAATCACCGGAGCCCAAGGAGGTTGAGACTGCAGTGACCCTTGATCATACCACTGCACTCCAGCCTGGACAGCAGAGTGAGACCTTGTCTCAAAAAAAAAAAAAAAAGAGTGAGACCGTGTCTCAAAAAATAAAAATAAATAAATAATTTAAAAATAATAATAATAAAGGCCAGGCACAGTGGCTCACACCTGTAATCCCAGCACTTTGGTTAGGAGGCCGAGGCAGGTGGATCACTTGAGGTCAGGAGTTTGAGACCAGCCGGCCAACATGGTGAAACCCCATCTCTACTAAAATACAAACATTAGCTAGGAGTGGAGATGTGCGCCCGTAATCCCAGCTACTTGGGAGGCTGAGGCAGGAGAATTGCTTCAGCCTGGGAGGCAGAGGTTGCAGTGAGCCGAGATCGTGCCACTGAACTCCCGCCTGGATGACAGAGCAAGATTCCATCTCAAAAAAAAAAAAAAAATAGGCCAGGCTCGGTGGCTCATGCCTGTAATCCCACCACTTTGGGAGGCCGAGGCAGGCAGATCACGAGGTTAGGAGTTTGAGACCAGCCTGGACAACATGGAAAACCCTGTCTCTACTAAAAATAAAATAATAATAATAATAATAATAAAACCCCATCCCCATGGGTCACTGCCTTCCCCTTCTCTGCTGTCTGTTTCTGTTTTTTTGTTGTTGTTGTTGTTGGTTTTTTGAGATAGAGTTTTGCTCTTGTTGCCCAGGCTGGAGTGCAATGGCGCGATCTCGGCTCGGCGTGATCTCGGCTCACCGCGATCTCGGCTCACTGCAACCTCCGCCTCTCGGGTTCAAGCGATTCTCCTGCCTCAGCCTCCCGAGTAGTTGGGATTATAGGCATGTGCCACCACGCCCGGCTAATTTTGTATTTTTAGTAGAGACAGGGTTTCTCCATGTTGGTCAGGCTGATCTTGAACTCCCGACCTCAGGTGGTCCACCCGCCTTGGCCTCCCAAAGTGCTGGGATTACAGGCATGAGCCACCGGGCCGGGCCGGGCCTCTGCTGCCTGTCTCTTTTTCTCCTGGCCTGTATCACTATTTAACATGCTCTGTAGGGAACTCCACATCACTATCTAACATGCTCTGCAGGGAATTTTTATTTTTTTGTCTGCATTCCTTACTTTGGGGTCTAAGCTGCATAAAGGGAAGGAGTTAATGCTATTTTGGGCACCACTGTATCACCAATATCTAGGATCTATTCCAGCACATAGGAGGTATTTAACAAAGATTTGCTGGATGAGTGAATGAATGGACGGTGAGGAGACAGCCTCCTGATCTCTGACCAACTCCAAGTGCTGTCACCCACCATTCGCCAGGCTCTTTAGAGACACGTGGCCTGTACTGACGAGGTCAGCTCTCACTGCACCCTCGGGGGCTGGGGCTGGGGGTGGCCTGCCAGGGTCTGTGCCCTTAACCACTCTCCCAGGCTAACGGAAGAAATAGTTTCTTTTGGCTGGGCGTGGTGGCTCACGCCTGTAATTCTAGCACTTTGGGAGGCTGTGGTGGGCGGATCACCTGAGGTCAGTAGTTCCAAGACCAGCCTGGCCAACATGGTGAAACCCTGCCTCTACTAAAAACACAAAAATTAGCCAGGCGTGGTGACTCACGCCGGTAATCCCAGCTACTTGGGAGGCTGAGACAGGAGAATCGCTTGAACCCGGGAGGCGGAGGTTGTAGTGAGTTGAGATCGCACCACTGCACTCCAGCCTGGGCGATGAGTGAGACTCCGTCTCAAAAAAAAAAAAAAAAAAAAGAAATAATTTCTTTTTTTCTTTTGAGATGGAGTTTCATTCTTGTTGCCCGGGCTGGAGTGCAATGGTGCGATCTCGGCTCACTACAACCTCCGCCTCCCAGGTTCAAGTGATTCTCCCGCCTCAGCCTCCCAAGTAGCTGGAATTACAGGCATGTGCCATCACGTCTGGCTAATTTTGTATTTTTAGTAGAGATGCAGTTTCACCATGTTTGTCAGGCTGGTCTCGAACTCCTGACCTCAGGTGATCCACCTGCCTCAGCCTCCCAAAGTGCTGGGATTACAGATGTAAGCCACCATGCCCCGCTGTGGACATGATTTCAAGAAAAGCCCTAGGTGTCCCCCATCAGGCTCCTGCCCCTGAACCCATCCGCTACAGAAGGAACTGTGGACTCCAGTTGGGAGAGCTACAAGCTTCATTTATTCCACTCTACTGCTTTTTTCATTTTGTGTTTGTTTCTTTGTTTTTTAGAGACAGGGTCTTGCTCTGTCACCCAGGCTGGAACTTAGTGGCATGATCATAGCTCACTGCAGGCTCGAAATCCTGGACTCAGGCGATCCTACCACCTTAGCCTCCTGAGTAGATGGGACTATAGGTGTATGCCACCATCACAGGCTAATTTTGTTTTTTGTTGTTGTTGTTGTTTTTTGGTGAGCGGGAGATTTACTCTTGTTGCCCAGGCTGGAGTGCAATGGTGTGATCTCGGCTCACCGCATCCTCCGCCTCCCAGGTTCAAGCAATTCTCCTGCCTCAGCCTCCCAAGTAGTTGGGATTACAGGCATGTGCCACCACACCCAGCTAATTTTGTATTTTTTTTTAGTAGAGACGGGGTTTCACCGTGTTGCCCAGGCTGATCTCGAACTCCTGACCTCAGGTGATCCGCCCGCCTCAGCCTCCCAAAGTGCTGGGATTACAGGCGTGAGCCACTGCGCCCAGCCACAGGCTAATTTTGTTTGTTGTTTTATAGAGACAGGGTTTCTATGTTGCCCAAATGGGGTCACTACATTGTTTGGGCTGTTCTCGAATTCCTGCCCTCAAGTGATCCTCCCCCATCAGCCTCCCAAAGTGCTAGGATTGAAGGCGTGAGCCATCATACCTGGCCCCCCTCCACTGTTTTACAGATAGAGACACTGAGGCCCAATGAAGGAATGAGCCTTGTCCAAGGTCACAGGCAGCATGTGATGGCAGCTCCACATGGTTAAGGAGCTAGCTTCAAATAGCATTCTGCGACCAGGCACGGTGGCTCACACCTGTAATCCTAGCACTTTGGGAGGCTGAGGCAGACGGATCACCTGAGGTCAGGAGTTCAAGACTAGCCTGGCCAACATGGAGAAACCCTGTCTCTACTAAAAACACAAAAATTAGCTGGACATGGTGGCGTGCGCCTGTCATCCCAGCTACTCGGGAGGCTGAGGCAGGAGAACACCTGAACCTGGGAGATGGAGGTTGCAGTGAGCCGAGATCCCGCTATTGCACTGCAGACTGGGTGACAGAGCAAGACTCTGTATCAAAAAAACAAAAACAACAACAAAAAAGAAGCTAGCTTCAAATAGTATTCTGCAGCCAGGCACCGTGGCTCATGCCTGTAATCCCAGCACTTTGTGAGGCCAAGGTGGGTGGATTGCCTGAGCTCAGGAGTTCGAGACCAGCCTGGCCAACATGGTGAAACCCTGTCTCTACTAAAAATACAAAAAAAAAAAAAAAAATTAAAAAATAAAAAATAAAAAACTAGCCTGGCATGGTATGGTGGTGGTGACTGTAGTCCCAGCTACTTGGGAGGCAGGAGAATTCCTTAAACCCAGGATGTGGAGGTTGCAGTGAGCTGAGATGGCACCACTGCACTCCAGCCTGGGCGATAGAGCAATAGAGGGAGACTCCTCTGTCTCCAAAACAAAAAAACAAATAGTATCCTCCCATTTTGTAACAGTGTGACACTAGGCAAGTTCCTAAAATTCTTGAGTCTCATTTGTAAAATGGGGATAATATAAATCACAAAAACAATGTAGCCCAGAAGCAGCCCTGAGTAAGAGGAAGATGCTTACATTACAATGTTGCTATTCTTAGGAGCCGAGCAGAGTTCAATGCAGGGCTCCTGACTTGGGCTCCTCTGAGCACCTGAGCCCTGCAGGCTGTATCCCCCGCCTCTCCTTTCCTTTTGTCACCCTTCCTCTGGAGGGGCCACCGCCAGCCCCTTCTACGGTGGGAGTTGGAGATATGCAAACCTAGTTGGGCCCAGGGGAGCTGCTAGCCTTGCCCATCTTGGTCTTGGCTCTCGAAGGCCCCGGTGGGAAGCTTCTCAGGGTCCTCCCCTTTTCAGGCCCTGTTCATGGAGAGTCTGTGGCCCACAGGCTCCAGAGGTTCCCCCGCCCCCAGCCCTGCCAGCCTGAAGATGCTGTCCTGGGGCACTCTCCTCTCCTTACCCAGCTAGGCCTTGGCTCTTTGTCCCCAGACCCTTCCATGACATCCTACCCACCCCTCACTATTCCCAGGGCACAGCTTTGGCCCCAGGCTCTCTTTTCAGGCACTTCTTCCAGGGAACCTCACCACTGGGCCGTGCCCGGTCAGGTCACTCCTGCCAGGGCTTCCTCCCTCCTCTTCCATCTTCAGCGGAGAGGCAGCAGGGCAGGGTAGCAAGGTCTGGGTTTGGTCCCTGGTCAGTCTGAATTTCAGCGCGACCTTGGAGAATCCACAGCCCTTCTCTGAGGAGCTGGACAAAGTGAGTGCTAAAGCTCTCAGTCTCCCCAGCTGAAGCTAAGGGCAGGGCTGGATGGGCAAGGACCCTACACTCCACATCCCGGGCACTAAGCTGAGAAAGACCTTGAGGTGACAAATCTGGGCTCAGTGGGAAACGGCTCTCCCCGCACCCCTTACCCCCATATTCAAAACCTGAGCAGCTCCCATGAGCTCTACCTTCCAACTGGATTCTGAACCCAGCCACTCTTACCACGTGTGTCTTCCACTTGGCTACTACAGTGGCCTGTTAACCACTGAGATCTGACTGTGGCTACTGAAAATACACCAGTGGCTCCTTCTTCCCTTAGCATGAAATTCACATTCTTTCCCAGGGCCTGCTATGATCTAGCCCCTGCCTGCCTCAGACCCCATTTCAAACCTCACTCTCCCTCCCTCACTGTCTGTCATCTCACCATGCCTCAGGGCCTTTGCCTGGCTGTTCCTCTGCCTACAATGATCTCCCCAAATCCTCCATGACTGCCTCCTACTCAGGGCTCAGATCACAACTCAAAAGTCACCTCTGCACAGAAGCCCTCCTTGACTGGTCTTCAGTGGGCTTCCTTCCCCTCTGTCCTTCCTGTACTGGGGATATCCTGCTTTTTTTTTTTTTTTTTTTTTTTGATACGGAGTCAGTCTGTCGTCAGGCTGGAGTGCAGTGGCGCGATCTTGGCTCACTGCAACCTCCGCCTCCCAGGTTCAAGCGATGCTCCTGCCTCAGCCTCTTGAGTAGCTGGGATTATAGGCGCGCACCACCACGCCCAGCTAATGTTTGTATTTTTAGTGGAGACGGGGTTTCACCATATTGGTCAGGCTGGTCTGGAACTCCTGACCTCGTGATCCGCCCGCCTCGGCCTTCCAAAGTGCTGGGATTACAGGTGTGAGCCACCGTGCCTGGCCAGCTGCTTTATCTTCTTCATGGTACTTATGACTGGCTGAAACATTAACTTGTTCATTTTTAATGCTCTTAGGGTCTCTCCAAGACAGAGAAATCTCCCATAGGTGCTCCTGTGGGTACCCAACTGGTCATGGGTGCCCCGTAAATACTTGTGCAATGGTGATGTTGTGTGTGTGATCTCAGGGGTGAAGGCAGGGCCTGACACTTTCCATCCTGAGCCAGATGTTCCCTAACAGCCCTCCCTCAGGGCCACCTTGCCCCACCCATCCCTTCTCACGGTGGCTGCCTGTCCTCCTGCTCTGCTGGGGCCCTCTGTCCTCCTGCTCCACTCAGCATTCCCTGTGCTGTTGCAACTCCCAGAGGAGCCAGGAGCGCCTGTCACGTGTCCCCAGGAGCAGGGAGCACTACACAAATCCTTGGCATCCCCAAAGGGCCACCCGTGCCCGGCCTCCAGCTCACCTCTGCCTGCTTCCTTCCCTCAGCTTGGCCTGTCACCCCCGGCCCTATGGGCTCCTCTGACCCCTCTGCTCATCACAACATCCCTTGTTTGTGCTGCAGTCAACCAGCGCCCAAACCTGCTCCTTCTGTCCTCTGAGAAGCCAGGGCTTCCCGTTCCCAGCTCACACAACCACTCATTAGCTGGGCTCCGGGAATGAGGATGATTGCTGCGACTAATAATCCCGATGCCCACAGCAGCGCTCCTCGCTCGGCATAGTTGGTGCGACTCATCATCCTGCCACATCACACGTTCACCCACAAGCATTTCCTGATGCCAACTCCTTGCAGGGCCTCAGAGGTCTGCGCCGGCCCCAGCTTGCCAGGAGCTGACGATCCGACAGGAGAGGCTGAATAGACACAAGAAAAAAGAGGGTCCTACAGTATTGAGAGAATACGCTAGACAGTGACCGCCACAGGAAAGTCAGTGTCTGGGGGCAGTGGTGGTGCCAATGGCTGGCGAGCAGCCGTCTCCCCTTCGCCCTGGGCATTTTGTGATGTGGGCAGTTGCTATTCTTGTAATTTTATGTGAAGTGCTACACAAATACAGCACTGAGACAAGTCTCCGACCCCTGCTTCCCCTGCCATCAGACTGTCTCCCTAAGCCCTGTCTATAGAGAAATTCTGAAGTTGACACGGGGGTGGAAGGGAGGAGGCAGGACTTGAAAGTAGGTGGGATGCCGGGCACGGTGGCTCACGCCTGTACCCCCAGCACTTTGGGAGGCCAAGGCGGGCAGATTACCTGAGCTCGGGAGTTCAAGACTAGCCTGACCAACATGGAGAAACCCCGTCTCTACTAAAAATACAAAAAATTAACCGGGCGTGGTGGCACGCACCTGTAGTCCCAGCTACCCGGGAGGCTGAGGCAGGAGAATCACTTGAACCAGGGAGGCAGAGGTTGCAGTGAGCCAAGATTGTGCCACTGCCCTCCTGCCTGGGTGACAGAGCAAGACTCAGTCTCAATAAAAAATAAACAAATTAAATAAATAAATAAATAAATAAATAAATAAATGTAGGGGGGATCTGGATGGTGGTTGGCTGGGGGGAAGGAACAGCCCTGAGCAATAGCTGAACGGTAGGAACCTCGGATATTTGGGGGTGGGAAGGGCCCACTGTGGGGAGACCAGTCAAATGGCACCCAGGCCTCCCTCAGGGGAGAAGGCTGAAGAGGATGGAAGAGGTAAGAGGATCTCTAATCCCAGGAGCTGACTAGGAGATTTAGCCAATGGCTTTGCTCAGAACAGCTTAGAGTTTTGCTCATGGACAAGAGGAGAGAAAAAAACTAGGATTTACTGGATGGACAGCGTGCAGGCTCCCCACTGGGTACTCAGCACTGAATCTGGTTTAATAAATGCCACAGGAATCCTGTGAGCTGGAGATCACCCTGCCCATTTTGCAGGTAGAAACCTGAGGTTCACAAGGAGTTCAAGATCAGTTCAGGCAACAAGGGAGACCCTGTCTCTATTCAAAAAATAAAAAAATTAGCTGGGCATGGTGGCACATGCCTATGGTCCCAGCTACTCAGGAGGCTGAGGAGAGAGGATCGCTTGAGGCCAGGAGATCGAGGCTGCAATGAGCCAAGATCATGCCACTGCACTCCAGCCTGGGCAACAGAATAAGATCCTGTCAAAAAAAAAAAAAAAAAAAAGGAGGAAACCCGAGGCTCAGAGAGTTTAAGAGAATCTGACCAAATAATGCATAAAAGTTAGGAAGGGCCTGGCGCAGTGGCTCACGCCTGTAATTCCAGCAGTTTGGGAGGCCGGGGTGGGCAGATCACGAGATCAGGAGATCAAGACCATCCTAGCTAACATGGTTAAACCCTGTCTCTACTAAAAACACAAAAAATTAGCTGGGCATGGTGGTACGTACCTGTACTCCCAGCTACTTAGGAGGCTGAGGCAGGAGAATCACTTGAACCCCAGAGGCAGAGGCTGCAGTGAGCCGAGATTGTGCCACTGCACTCCAGCCTGGGTGACAGAACAAGACTCCGTCCAAAAAAAAAAAAAAAAAAAATTGGCCAGGCGCGGTGGCTCACGCCTGTAATCCTAGCACTTTGGGAGGCCGAAGCGGGTGGATCACTTGAGGTCAGGAGTTCGAGACCAGCCTGGCCAACATGGCAAAGCCCCATCTCTACTAAAAAAAATACAAAAATTAGCCTGGCATGGTGACGGGCACCTATAATCCCAGCTACTCAGGAGGCTGAGGCAGGAGAATCGCTTGAACCCAGAGGGTGGAGGTTGCAGTGAGCCAAGATTGCGCCACTTCACTCCAGCCTGGGTGAAAGAGCAAAACTCCATCTCAAAAAAAAAAAAAAAAAGGCTGGGCACGGTGGCTCGAGCCTGTAATCCCAGCACTTTGGGAGGCCGAGGCGGGTGGATCACGAGGTCAGGAGATCAAGACCAACCTGGCTAACACAGTGAAACCCCGTCTCTACTAAAAATACAAAAAATTAGCAGGGTGTGGGGGCGGGCGCCTGTAGTCCCAGTTACTCGGAAGGCTGAGGCAGGAGAATGGCATGAACCCAGGAGGCAGAGCTTGCAGTGAGCCGAGATCGCGCCACTGCACTCCAGACTGGGAGAGAGAGCGAGACTCCGTCTCAAAAAAAAAAAAAAAAAAATTAGCTGGGTACGGTCGCTCACTCCTGTAGTCCCAGCTACTTGGGTGACTGAGAAAGGAGAATTGCTTGAACCCGGGAGGCAGAGGTTGCAGTGAGCCAAGATCATGCCACTGCACTCCAGCCTGGGAGACAGAGACTCCGTCTCAAAAAAAGGAAAAAAGCCAGCCAGGCGCGGTGGCTCATGCCTGTAATCCTAGCACTTTGGGAGGCCAAGGCGGGCAGATTGCCCGAGCTCAGAAGTTCAAGAACAGCCTGGACAAGATGGTGAAACCCCATCTCTACTAAAAAATACAAAAAATTAGCCGGGAATGGTGGCGTGTGCCTGTAGCCCCAGCTACTCAAGAGGCTGAGCCAGGAGAATCACTTGAACCCGGGAGGCAGAGGTTGCAGTGAGCCAAGATCACACCACTGCACTCTAGCTGCCTGGGTGACAGAGTGAGACTCCATCTCAAAAAAAAAAAATCGCTTAGGAAGAACTTCTGTTTTCCTCTCCAGACCTAGCCTGGAGCCTCACCCTGCCTTGGGGACTGGGCACCTTCTGCCTTTGTCTCCCTCAATGCATGGTAACTGGGCACCCCTCTCAGGACACCACAAGTCCGATCCACCACTCCAGAAGCACAGGGATTCTGGTGACCGTTAAGGTAGCTGACTCCCAGGCAGATGTCTGCACCCCATCAGGTTCACTAACTAACCCAGTGGGGTGTAAGAAGAAAAAAAATCAGAATTTGTATTCTTCAGTTTTTAATCTGAGCCCGCTAAATATTCTACTTCAATGTAGGTTTTTAAAAATTTATTTATTTTTTGAGAAGAGTCTTGCTCTGTTGCCCAGGCTAGAGTGCAGTGGCTCTATCTCTGCTCACTGCAACCTCTGCCTCCTAGGTTCAAGCGATTCTCATGCCTCAGCCTCCCGAGTAGCTGGGACTATAGGCCTGTGCCACCACGCCTGGCTAATTTTTTTTTTTTTTTTTTGAGACGGAGTCTGGCTCTGTCTCCTAGGCTGGAGTGCAGTGGCGCGATCTCAGCTTACTGCAACCCGCGCCTCCCGGGTTCAAGCAATTCTCCTGCCTCAGCCTCCCGAGTAGCTGGGACTACAGGCGCAAGCCACCATGCCCGGCTAATTTTTGTATTTTTAGTAGAGATGAGGTTTTGCCATGTTGGCCAGGCTGATCTCGAACTCCTGGCCTCAGGTGATTCACCCACCTCGGCCTCCCAAAGTGCTGGGATTACAGGCATAAGCCACCGTGCCTGGCCAATTTTTGTATTTTCAGTAGAGATGGGTTTTTGCCATGTAGGCCAGGCTGGTCTCAAACTTCTGGCCTCAAGTGAGCAGCCCACCTCAGCCTCTCAAACTGCAGGGATTACAGGCATGAGCCACTGTTCCCAGCCCCTAATGTATGTTTTATAATGTGCTTATGAACACAGCAGAACACATATACCTAAGTTATAAATACTAAATATACAATTAAATACAAAACGAATGCTCAAAAATATTTTTGTGGGTTTTTTTCAGTCTTTATTTTGTTTCCTTTCATATGTAGTCCTGCAGATCAAAAACATTTTCCCAGATGGGGTATGCAACCACAGTTTGCATTAGTGTTGGAGACCCCTGGAACGAGTTCTCACTTGAGGGGCAGCAATGATAAAGACTACTTCAGGCTGGCGCAGTGACTCACGCCTGTAATCCCAACACTTTGGGAGGCCGAGGCAGGATGATCACTTGAGCCCAGGAGTTCAAGATCAGGCTTGGGAACATAGGGGACTCTCTCTCTACAAAAATAAAAAAAATTAGTCGGGCATGGTGGTGCATGCCCATGGCCTCAGCTACTTGGGAGGCTGAGGTGGGAGACTCGCCTGGGCCCAGGAGGTCAAGGCTGCAGTGAACCATGATCACGCCATTGCACTCCTGCCTGGGCAACAGAGCAAGACCCTGTCTCAAAAAAAAAAAAAAAAAAAACAACACTCTGCTTCAAGAGGCTGGATTCAAATTCTTAATTGGCTACTTTAAGCTCCAGGCTATGTGGCTGGATGAGTTTATAGGACCTTCCTAAGCCTCAGTTTCCTCATCTAAGAAATGGCGGTGGCAATAGCACCCACCTCAGTGGGGATTAAAAGAGCTGCTGTGGCCAGGCGAGGTGGCTCATGCCTGTAATCCCAGCACTTTGGGAGGCTGAGGAGGGTGGATCACCTGACATCAGGATTTCAAGACCAGCCTGGCCAACATGGTGAAGCCCCATCTCTACAAAAATACAAAAATTAGCTGGGCATGATGGCTGGTGCCTATAATCGCAGCTACTTGGGAGGCTGAGGCAGGAGAATCGCTTGAACCCTGGAGGCGGAGGTTCCTGTGAGCTGGGATCGTGTCACTGCACTCCAGCCCAGGCGACAAAGTCAGACTCCATCTCAAAATAATAATAATAATAATAATAATAATAAATCAAAGAGCTGCTGTGCATAAAGCCCGTAGCTCAGAGCCTGGCATGTGAATAGTAGCTGCAGTTATTAATTCACCTACAGGGCCTTGGCCTGGCTAGTTATTAATTCAGCTACAGAGCTGGGCCTGGCTGGGCCTTTCGGTGGGTCCAGAGATGAAATGTACATGGGTCTTGCACGGTGGAGCTGACCTACTCAAGGAGACCCAAACCTAGGAACTGGTCATTATAAATTAGTGTGAGCAGGGCTAAGACAGAGACAGGGATGTCAGTAGACACTGACAGAGTGCAGGGATTCTTCGGGAAAGCTCTGATGCCTTGTGCAGAAAACAACAGAGAGATGTCTGAGAACACAGATGTATGTCAGACACCCTCTTAGGTTAGAGAGGCAGTGTAGCCTAGTGATGAGGGGTCTGGAGTTAAGACAGACTGGGATTGAATCCTGGCTTCCCTTGGGCAACTTACTTAACCTTTCTGTGCCTCAGTTTCAGTATCTTTTTTTTTTTTTTTTTTGAGATGGAGTCTCCCTGTGTCGCCCATGCCTGTAATCCCAGCACTTTGGGAGGCCAAGGCGGGTGGATCACCTGAGGTCAGGAGTTCGAGACCAGGCTGGCCAACGTGGTGAAACCCCATCTCTACTACAATTAAAAAATTAGCCAGGCATGGTGTCGTGTGCCTGTAATCCCAGCTACTCGGGAGGCTGAGGCAGGAGAATCGCTTGAACCCGGGAGGTGGAGGTTGCAGTGAGCCAAGATCGCACCACTGCACCCCAGCCTGGCAACAGAGGGAGACTCCATCTCAAAAACAAATTAATTAATTAAATTAAATTAAATAATATGTATCCATTTCGTAGAATGACTCTAAAGTGCCTAGAACAAGAGACAGCCACACGAGGTCCTCAATAAGTATTAGCTATCAGATTTTTGAACAGACATGTTGTGGGGCTGTGAAAGTTTCAGAAAGTGTCATTTCCCAGGCCCAAGGCAGCGACTTGCTTCTGGGTCCTGGTGCTGTTATTCCAAATGACTAACATTGTGACTATGTAATGAACCACTTCCAATTTTCTGTGAATTGGAAGATGACTGTCCTAATTCTGTTTTAGAACATCAGAGACCCCTGGATACCCAATTGTTAGGGGAGCCTGCTAACCAGACTCCTGTCCTGGAGTGGCAAGCCAGGCAGAAAGGGATGACCTTGAGGGGGGGGTCACAGACCCTTTCTACAAGATTATTTTAATGCTAATGCTCAGACACTCCCAACAGGGCTCAGAGCCCTTTTGCTCTCATCCAGTGAGAGCGTGCTGTGGGTGCACATTACAAAAAAGCCCGGTTAGAGAAACGGAGCAAGCCCCCCAGGGTCTAGAAATGGATGGCTCTGGGAAATGGGGATTTCCTATCCCACTGAGGTGTGGCCACAGGTTCCCAGCACCCAGACCCCCTCTGAAGATGGCCAGGGAGTTAAGAAGATGAGGGGCCAGGGTGGGGGTGTACAGTCAGAGACTGAGCAGGCCTTTCAAAGTGGGAGGAGGGCCTGGTAAGTAGGTAGCTGGGGAGTTATTATTCCCATTTCACAGTTGAGGAAACGGAGGCCCAAAGCACAGAGACTTCTGTTTTCTCTAAGCAAAGATTAGCCTGGTACAAGTACAGCTGATGACCCAGCCCTGACATCCTCCTCTCCCTAACTCCCCCATCCAGGCATTTGGTGTAGACACCCCTGAGGGAGTTAGGAGCCCTGGGGGCCAAACCGACTCGGTTACTGTTTCCCATGTGGATCTTGAACAAATCACCTGTCTTCTGAGCCTGTTTCCTCATCTGTACAAGGGGTTGGTTACTATGCCCCACCTTCACCCCTTCCTATTTTTCTTCTAATCCCCTCACTCTGAAGCTTGCCCAGAAACTCATCCCAAAGGGGCGAACCCATCTGGAGGCCTGGAGGTCATTGGCCCTGGCTCAGGGATCCTGTCTGCTCCCAGCCCACAAGGAGCGGATATGCGCCGACCTAGTGGTTCGTGTCCACCTGGCCCAGACTCAGAGATGTCTTCATTCTGGGGGTTTTCCCAAGAGCTCATCCCCGTCCTTCTCTCCCCAGCACTTCCCGTTCTCTGGTCCCTCAATACCTTCAGTTGGTCCAAGTCCTTTCTACAAACACACAAACATGCAGACCCTTTTTCTGCCAGACCCATGATGGCGGTGTTTGTGGGGACAGGGCCTACATAATTTAGCTCATTTAATCTTCACAACACCCTGGGGAGGTAGCTCTATGTACCCACTTTCCAGATGTGGAAACTCATGGTTAGAGAGAGCAAAGGTCTTTATCCAGATCCCAGTGTTGGCGGTGGAGGTCTTGGCCTGTTTTTTTCTGTTACATCTCCCGGTCTCCCTTCATAATCTTCCATGGAGTGTTCAGAATGGTACCCAACCATGGTCAATCTCTCAAATGTTACATTATGCAGCCATTAAAACAATGATTACACATACACAAATGACTCACCACAACGAGAAAATGCTTATGACACAATATTCAAGGGAAAAGCAGGACATAAAAGTTGCAGATACAGTATGATAAAATTATATGAAAATGGTTGTGCATGGAAAAAAGACTGAAAGGAAACACACCAAAATATCCAGAGTGATTGTGTCCTGGTACTATGGATGATTTCTTTCCTACTTTTCTACATTTGCCAAATAGTCAATCGGCATACAGTTTTACAACAAAGAAAAGGCACCAATGATAATAATGATAATAATAAAAAGAATTATAGGGCCGGGTGCGGTGGCTCACGCCTGTAATCCCAGCACTTTGGGAGGCCGAGGAG
The DNA here is from genome assembly GCF_000001405.40 of Homo sapiens. Taxonomy (NCBI): domain Eukaryota; kingdom Metazoa; phylum Chordata; class Mammalia; order Primates; family Hominidae; genus Homo; species Homo sapiens. The sequence continues at coordinate 38,335,612 of NC_000022.11, forward strand.
GGCGGATCACCTGAGGTCAGAGTTTGGAGACCAGCCGAAACCCTGTCTCTACTAAAAACACACAAAAATTAGCCGGGCGTGGTGGTGCATGCCTGTAATCCCAGCTACTAGGGAGGCCGAGGCAGGAGAATTTCTTGAACCCGGGAGGCAGAGGTTGCAGTGAGCCGAGATCGTGCCAGCAACAGAGTGAGCCTCCGTCTCAAAAAAACAAAACAAACAAATAAATAATAAGAAGAATGATAACAATACATTTGCGGTTGAAATATTTGGAAACCTGCTGCTTCCTCTTCAACTTCCTCTCCTTCAATTCCCTCCAAAGTCTACGTTTTCAGGACAACGTGACTATAACCCAGAGACAAGGGAGGATTTGGGGGGAGCAGGCAGTATCTCCACAGACCCACGCCCACCTCCTCCTCCTCTCCTTTGACCCGGTTCTCCTCTCCGTCGAGTGAGGACCCCCACCCCGGGCCCTCCTCCTCCCAGCACCTACCCCCAGCTGCTGCTGGCGCTCACCTGAAGCTTGCTGGCCGGCCTTCGAGATGCGAAGTGCGCACACCTGTGCCTGCAGGTGAGGACTCCGCTGGGGAGCGCTCCGGGAGGAGGGAGCCGGCCGGGGGCGGGGCCGCGACGTCACCGGCCCAGCCCCGCGCCGCTTCCCGGCCCCGCCCCGCCCCGCCCCGCCCCGGTTTCCCGGCCCCGGGGGTTTCGTGGTTCTCATGCTTGCGGGGTGAGGCGCTGGGACACTTCTCCCGGCACGCACGCCCCACATGGCCTGGGCCCCGGGCGTCAGCCGCGCCCGCCTTGGAGGCGCGGTCCTCCAAGTGCGGCCCTCCAAGTGCGGTCCTCGGGGGTGGGCGGACTGAAAGGGGAGGTCCCACTCTCCCAGATGAGCATCTTTCTGATCTCCCAGATCGGAAAGAGCTGGGATCCCCCACCCCACCTCCACCCCTGGGTTACTTAGAACTCTTGGGGCCTCGGACTTCAGGTTCAGATCACCTGGAGTAAGGGATGACCTCCGAGGGATGAGGAGCCTCCGAAAGGCCTGTTTCCTTCTCCTCGCAGCCCACTCTACTTCTCTCCGGCCCGCTCCAACACCTAAGAGAGAGATAGGGACATGGAGATCGGGGTGTTTGGGTCAAGTTATCTTTGGATCTGACACCTGCGCTCCGGAAACTTTCCATCTTCTTTGTATTATCTGAGACTGCTTGTATTTGGCAAATTTTTTTCTTGAAAATATCAGCCTGCTGGTGGTGGCAGAGATAAGGGTCTCCGCTCTGTCGGACAGGTTCCAGCTGCCCAAGAGTCGTAAATTAGCGTTTGCCTTAGGGCAGCAATTCCATTTCTGGAAATCTCTTCCAAGGAAGTCATGCAGAATACCTGTTCATTGTGGAGATCTTTTTATTTACTTTTTTTTTGAAGCAGGGAGGGTGTTGCTCTGTTGCCCAGGCTGGAGTGCAGTGGTGTGATCACGGCTCACTGCAGCCTCGAACTCCTGGGCTCAAGCCATCTGCCCACCTCAGTCTCCTGAGTAGCTGGGACTACAGGCGAGCACCACACCTTTCTAATTTTTCCATCTTTTGTAGAGATGGGGTCTCTGGCCAGGCGTGGTGGCTCATGCCTGTAATTCCAGCACTCTGGGAGGCAGAGGTGGGTGGATCACTTGAGGTCAGGAGTTCAAGACCAGCCTGACCAACATGGTGAAACCTCGTGTGTTCTAAAAATACAAAAATTAGCTGGGTGTGGTGGTGCATGCCTGTAGTCCCAGCTACTTGGGAGACTGAGGCAGGAGGATAGCTTGAACCTGGGAGGGGGAGGTGGCAGTGAGCAGAGAACGCACCACAGCACTCCGGCCTGGCAACAGAGTGAGATCCTGTCTCAAAAAAAAAAAAAAGGTGGGGTCTCACTATGTTTCCCAGGCTAGTCTTGAACTCCTGGGCTCAAGTGATGAACCTACCTCAGCCTCCCAAAGTGCTAGAGTTAGAGGCGTGAGCCACTGCACCCAGGCATTGTGGAGTTCTTTATAATGGGGAGGGTTGGGGCTGGTCTAAGTGTCCAGAGAAGGGGGTTCTTTAACAGAGCAAACACACGATAGAATATTATGCAAGCATTAAGTTATGTTTACAAACAGCTTATAATAATATGAGGAAATATGTTATAATATGAAGAGAATAAAAGCAGGATGTCAATGTGTGGTGACAGCAGGGTCACAGCTATACTTAAAAGCAAAACAATTTATGCACAAGGAAGAGTCTGGAAGGAAAATGTTCACTACGATTATTTCTGGGTGGTGGCACTATGAGGCTTCTTTATTATCCTTCTGTTTTCCTGCTTTTTCAACATCTAATAAGCTTATATCACTTTTATAAAGTTTCTTCATTTCTTTTTTTTTAATTAAAAAAAATTTTTTTTTGATACGGAGTCTTGCTCTGTTGCCCAGGCTGGAGTGCAATGGTGCAATTTCGGCTCACTGCAACCTCTGCCTCCCAGGTTCAAGCGATTCTCCTGCCTCAGCCTCCCGAGTAGCTGGGACTATAGGTGCCCGCCACCACACCCAGCTAGTTTTTTGTATTTTTGGTAGAGACAGGTTTTCACCATGTTAGCCAGGATGGTCTCGATCTCCTGACCTCGTGATCCACCTGCCTTGGCCTCCCAAAGTGCTGGGATTACAGGCGTGAGCCATCACATACGACCTAATTTTTGTATTTTTAGTCAAGGCGGGGTTTCACCACATTGGCCAGGCTGGTCTCGAACTCCTGAACTCAGATGATCCGCCTGCCTTGGCCTCTCAAAGTGCAGGGATTACAGACGTGAGCCGCTACGCCCAGCTAAGTTTCTTCATTCCTTAAAAAGTTCCCAGTTTCAGGGCACGGTGGCTCACACCTGTAATCCCAGCACTTTGGGACGCCAAGGCAGGTGGATCACTTGAGGTCAGGACTTTGAGACCAGCCTGGCCAACATGGTGAAACCCCATCTCTACTAAAAATACAAAAATTAGCCAGGCAGGGCGGCACACATCTGTAATCCCAGCTACTCAGGAGGCTGAGGCAGGAGAATTGCTTGAACCCATGAGGCGGAGGTTGCAGTGAGCTGATATCACACCATTGCATTCTAGCCTGAGTGACAACAGCAAAACTCCATCTAAAAAATAAAAATAAATAAAAACGTAAAAATAAAAACACAAAAATTAGCCAAGCATGATGCCGGGCACCTGTAATCCCAGCTACTCAGGAAACTGGGGCAGGAGAATGGCTTGAGCCCAGGAGGCGGAGGCTGCAGTGAGCTGAGATCACGCCACTGCACTTCAGCCTGGGTGACAGAGCAAGACTCAAGAAAAAAAAAAAGTTCCCATTAGTTGAGCACCTACTATAATCTAGGATAAGCCTCTTTCATGTAATCCTTGCCATAGTCCTGGGGTAGGAATTCTTATTTGTTCATGTTACAGATGAGGAAAGGAGGGTCTGAGAGGTTGATTCCCAAAGTCACATGTGTAGAAAGGGCCAGAGGCCTTTCTGTTCTAAGCCCAACAGGGCCTCTTAGGCAAACTCCTGGTTAGCCACCAGGCTAAAAGGCTACCAGCCCCCACTGGGCTAAAGGGAGTCAAGGAGCAGAGTTTGTTTACCCTTGGGCAACAGCTTCAAAAAAAGGCAGTGTGGAAGGAAACCACAGAGTGTGAGGGGCAGGAGTCTCACCCTGCCTTCTTCCTGAGGGGGAGCCCCTTCCTCCCACCCAGGGGGCTTTGAGGCTGGCAGTGCCAACCCAGAAAGGACCCAGGGAGGACAGAGCTTCCCAGAGTTCAAGCTGCAAGACTGAGAGGTCAGCTATCAGGCCCATCCACCAATAATGTAATATATATATTATACATAATATATATATTACATATAAATATATAATATATAAAAGTATATATAATTTATACATTGTATAAAATATATAATTTATATATTGTATAAATTATATATTTTATACAATGTATAAAGTATATATTTTATACAATATATAAAATATATAATTTATACAATATATAAAATATATAATTTATACAATATATAAAATATATAATTTATACAATATATAAAATATATAATTTATACAATATATAAAATATATAATTTATACAATATATAAAATATATAATTTATACAATATATAAAATATATAATTTATACAATATATAAAATATATAATTTATACAATATATAAAATATATAATTTATACAATATATAAAATATATATTTTATACAATATGTAAAATATATAATTTATACAATATATAAAATATATATTTTATACAATATATAAAATATATATTTTATATATAGCCGGGCACAATGGCTCAAGCCTGTAATTCCAGCACTTTGGGAAGCCAAGACGGGCAGATCACCTGAGGTTCTGGAGTTTGAGATCAATCTGGCCAACATGGTGAAACCCTGTCTCTACGAAAAATACAAAAATTAGATGGACATGGTGGCAGGAGCCTGTAATCCCAGCTACTCAGGAGGCTGAGGCAGGAGAATCACTTGAAACAGGGAGGCAGAGGTTGCAGTGAGCCGAGATTGCGCTACTGCACTCCGGCATGGGCAACAAGAGCAAAAGTCCATCTCAAAAGAAGAAAAGAAAATGTCAGTAGCTTTTAGTATATTCACAAGGTTTTGCAACCACTAATACTATCTAATTCCCCAATTTTTTTTTTTTTTGAGATGGAGTCTCACTCTGTCACCTAGGCTGGAGTGCTGTGGCATGATCTCAGCTCACTGCAACCTCCACCTCCCAGGTTCAAGCGATTCTCCTGCCTCAGCCTCCTGGGTAGCTGGGACAGGCACCTGCCACCATGCCTGGCTAATTTTTGTAGTTCCGGTAGAGATGGGGCTTCACCACGTAGGCCAGGCTGGTCTTGAACTCCTGACCTCAAGCAATCTGTCCACTTCGGCCTCCCAAAGCAGTGGGACTACAGGCGTGAGGCACCATGCCCAGCCTAATTCCCCAATATTTTTATTGACCTAAAAAAAACCCCCAGCTGGGCGCGGTGGCTCACGCCTGTAATCCCAGCACTTTGGGAGGCTGAGGCAGGCGGATCACGAGATCAGGAGATCGAGACCATCCTGGCTAACACGGTGAAACCCCGTCTCTACTAAAAACACAAAAAATTAGCCAGGGGTAGTGGCGGGCACCTGTAGTCCCAGCTACTCGGGAGGCTGAGGCAGGAGAATGGTGTGAACCCGGGAGGCACAGCCTGCAGTGAGCCGAGATCGCGCCACTGCACTCCAGCCTGGGCCACAGAGCAAGACTCTGCCTCAAAAAAAAAAAAGAAAAAAAAAAAAGAAACCCCATCTCCACTCGCAGTCGTTCCCCACTTCAGCCCTCCCCCCAGCCTCTGGGGACCGCTAATGGACTTTTGTCTCTGGATTTGCCTCTTTTGGACAGCTCATGTAAATGGAGACAGCGTCTGGCTTCTTTCACTCAGTGTCGTGTTTTCAAGGTTCATCCATGTTGTAATGTGTGTCAGGTCCTCCTTCCTTTTCGTCACCGAGTAAGATTCTAGACTGAGCCCCACAGTCTGGATTTAGTCGACTGCATCCTTGTTGGGGTTTTTTTTTTGTTTTGTTTTGTTTTTCTGAGATGGAGTCTCTGTCATCCAGGCTGGAGTGCAGTGGTGTGATCTCAGCTCACTGCAAACTCTGCCTCCTGGGTTCAAGCGATTCTTCTGCCTGAGCCTCCCAAGTAGCTGGGACAGGCACCTGCCATCACGCCTGGCTAATTTTTGTAGCTTTACTAGAGACAGGGTTTCACCACGTTGGCCAGGTTGGTCTTGAACTCCTGACCTCAAGTGATCTGCCCACCTTGGCTTCCCAAAGTGCTAGGATTACAGGCCACCGCGTCCAGCCCTCGTGGGTATTTTGTTTGTTTGTTTGTTTTTTTACGGAGTCTTGCTCTGTCGCCTAGGCTGGAGTGCAGTGGTGTAATCTCGGCTCACTGCAAACTCTGCCTCCTGGGTTCAAGAGATTCTCCTGCCTCACCCTCCCAAGTAGCTAGTATTACAGGCATTCACCACCATCCCTAGCTAATTTTTGCATTTTTAATAGAGACAGGGTTTCACCAGGTTGGCCAGGCTGGTCTTGAATTCCTGACCTCAGATGACCTGCCCCCCTCAGCTTCCCAAAGTGCTAGGATGACAGGCGTGAGCCACCGCACCCAGCCCTCGGGTTTTTTTTTTTTTTTAAATGTGCTCCACTACCCCCATATTTCCCTAAGCTGGTAATCAAGTGTAGACCCTAGAGGCTGGTAGCTTGATTTGATTTGAATTCAACAATGATTTTATCAAGAATATTTTGGCCAGGTGTGGTGGCTCACGCCTGTAATCCCAGCACTTTGGGAGGCCAAGGCCGGTGGATCACGAGGTCAGGAGTTCCAGATCAGCCTGGCCAACATGGTGAAACCCTGTCTCTAGTAAAAATACAAAAATTAGCAGGGCATGGTGGTGGGTGCCTGTTATCCCAGCTGCTTGGGAGGCTGAGACAGAAGAATCACTTGATCCCGGGAGAGGGAGGTTGCAGTGAGCAGAGATTGCACCACTGCACTCCAGCCTGGGCAACAGAGCAAGACTCCTTCTCAAAAGGAGTCTTTTTTTTTTTTTTGAGACAGAGTCTGGCTCTGTCGCCCAGGCTGGAGTGCAGTGGCGCTATCTCAGCTCACTGCAAGCTCTGCCTCCTGGGTTCACACCATTCTCCTGCCTCAGCCTCCCGAGTAGCTGGGACTACAGGTGCCCGCCACCACACCCGACTAATTTTTGTGTATTTTTAGTAGAGACAGGGTTTCACCGTGTTAGCCAGGATGGTCTCAATCTCCTGACCTCGTGATCCACGTGCCTCGGCCTCCCAAAGTGCTGAGATTACAGGCGTGAGCCACAGCGCCCGGCCAAAAAAAGAATATTTCATAGATGACATTGTGTCCTTCCTGGTGCACCAGAGAAGGAGGCCCATAGGGTCGGGCCGCCCTACCTTTTAGTGACCTTAAGGTTAATCAGTGGCTTTAGGTGTTGTTAGCCTCATCCTTCTGCTGCAAAGTTTCCCATCAATCTTTTACCCAGTGGATTTAGCATCCATTGGTGATCATTGACCAGGCATGCAATTTCACCCTTCAGTTTGTAGATTAAAAAACTGGCCCAGACAGGCGTAGTGACTCATGCCTGTAAGCCCAGCACTTTGGGAGGCCAAGGCAGGTGGATCACCAGAGGTCAGGAGTTCGAGACCAGCCTGTCCAACATGGTGAGACCCCGTCTCTACTAAATAATACAAAAATTAGCTGGGCGTGGTGGTGGGTGCCTGTAATCCCAGCTACTCGGGAGGCTGAGGCAGGAGAATCACTTAAACCCAGAAGGCAGAGGTTGAGTGAGCAGAGATCTTGCCATTGCACTCCAGCCTGGGCAACAGAGCAAGAGTCCATCTCAAAAAACAGAAAAGGAAAAGAAAAAAGAAAAAAAACCCTCAAAAACTGGCCAGGAGCAGTGGCTCACACCTGTAATCCCAGGCTGAAGCGGGCAGATCACTTGAGGTCAGGAGTTCAAGACCAGCCCGACCAACATGGTGAAACCCCATACTTACTAAAAGATACAAAAATTAGCCGGGCATTGTGGCGGGCGCCTGTAGTCCTAGCCACTTGGGAGGCTGAGGCAGTAGAACAGCTTGAATCCAGGAGGCGGAGGTTGCAGTGAGCCAAGATGGCGCCACTGCACTTCAGCCTGGGTGACAGAGCAAGACTCCATCTCAAACAAAAAACAAAAACCAAAAAACGGAGGCCACGAAGAAGAGAAGGGATTTGCTCAAGATCCCAAGACTAGTCATAATCGATAGCAACTACACATTGTGCCCTTGCTCTGCGCCTGGGACTGTTCTAAGGGCTTTTCATGAGCTGACTCATTTAATCCTCTCAACAACCCTCTGTGGTTGGCCTTATATTATGTTCCTCCTTTTCAAATGAGGAAACTGAGGAGGCCCCAAAATGGTGGTGGTGCCACCTTTTTTTTTTTGAGACGGAGTCTTGCTCTGTCGCCCAGGCTGGAGTGCAGTGGCCCAATCTCAGCTCACTGCAAGCTCCGCCTCCCGGGTTCACGCCATTCTCCTGCCTCAGCCTCCCCAGTAGCTGGGACTACAGGCACCTGCCACCACGCCCGGCTAATTTTTTTATATTTTTAGTAGAGACGGAGTTTCACCATGTTAGCCAGGATGGTCTCGATCTCCTGACCTCATGATCTGCCCACCTCGGCCTCCCAAAGTGCTGAGATTACAGGCGTGAGCCACCGTGCCCGGCCGAGGTGCCACCTTTGATGCATCGGTTGCTAATTCACGTTGGGAGATCCTGGAGGACCGAGAAACCAGAAAACACGGTTCTTGCTCTGGTAAGTGTAGACATGGACAAGGTGATCAGAGCCATAAGAGAGAAGGGATGGGAGTCACGAAGTCTTCCCAGAGGAGCTTCACTGCAGCTGGGCCTTCAAGTATGTGTAGGAGTTTGCCAAGGCAGTAAAGGCAGAGGCCCACCAACTGAGTCAGGCCTGGGGTGCGATTTGGGCCGGGGCAACGACTCCATTCCTCATCACAGACAACCTTCCATGAATCTCTGCCCTTGGGCAGGAGGAAGAGGGAGAGGGTGTGGCTTGGCCCATTGCATACTTGGAGTCTGTAGACAGCATTACAAGATGAGGATTGCTGAGAGCTCTGGACTAGGAGTCTGAAGATGAACCTTCTTCTTCTTCTTTTCTTTTCTTTTTTTTTCTTTTGAGACAGAGTTTCACTCTTGTTGCCCAGGCTGGAGCGCAATGGTGAGATCTCGACTCGCCGCAACGTCTGCCTCCCGGGTTCAAGCGATTCTCCTGCCTCAGCCTCCCAAGTAGCTGGGATTACAGGCATGCACCACCACGCCCGGCTAATTTTGTATTTTTAGTAGAGATGGAGTTTCTCCATGTTGGTCAGGCTGGTCTCGAACTCCCAACATCAGATGATCTGCCCGCCTCGGCCTCCCAAAGTGCTTGGATTACAGGTGTGAGCCACTGCGTCCAGCCCTAAGCTGAACCTTCTGTGGGCTGCAGAAGACGCCTGGGTGCTGTACTCAGGTGCAGTCCCTCCCCTCAAAGGCCTAAGATAAACGGATAGAGATGGAACTGAGGGTGAGTCGTTCCCAGCCCAGAATGGTGAGAGGTCACCCAGCTCTGGTCCTAGCTCCAGCTTCAAGATTCAGACCACAGAGATTCACCCGGACCATTGACTTGAAAAGAGCCCCAGCAAACTTAGATTCAAAGTGCCCCTTGAAATATATGTGTATTTGCTTCTATGTACATACAGCATCTCTGGATGGGCCCAGAAGAAAAATATTTGCGAGTCATGCTTTTTTTTTTTTTTTTTTTTTTGAGACAGAGTATCGCTCTTTTGCCCAGGCCAGAATGCAGTGGCGCAATCTCGGCTCACTGCAAGCTCCACCTCCCGGGTTCACGCCATTCTCCTGCCTCAGCCTCCCGAGTAGCTGGGACTATAGGCGCCCTCCACCACACCCGGCTAATTTTTTGTATTTTTAGTAGAGACAGGGTTTCACCATGTTAACCAGGATGGTCTTGGTCTCCTGACCTCGTGATCCGCCCGCCAAGGCCTCCCAAAGTGCTGGGATTACAGGCGTAAGCCACCGCACCCAGCCCATGCTTTCTTTAGTATATAAAAAGCAGTTACAAATCAATAAGAAAAATACTAATAATATAATATAAAAATGACTAAGAATAGTAAGAGACTGTTCCTAGGAAAGAAAATACAAAGGTTGGGGACAGGGTGGAAGGGAAACTGAGAGGGAAGGAGACTGTACTGTACCCTCTTTGGTAACTTCTTTTTTTTTTTTGAGACAGGGTCTCACTCTGTTGCCCAGGCTGGAGTGCAGTGGTGTGATCTTGGCTCACTACAACCTCCGCCTCCCAGGTTCAAGCGATTCTCCTGCCTCAGCCTCCCAAGTAGCTGGGATTACAGGTGTGCACCACCACGCCCGGCTGATTTTTTGTATTTTAGTAGAGATGGGGTTTCACCATGTTGGCCAGGCTGGTCTCGAACTCCTAACCTCAGGCGATTTGCCTGCCTCAGCCTCAAAGTGCTGGGACTGCAGGGGTGAGCCACCGTGCCCGCCCAACTTTTGAATTTTGATGTCTGTGAAAATATTTTCCATTCCATAAATCGAATTAAATTAAATGACCAATTTCCCCATTTTACAGAGAAGGAAACTGGGTCAACAGAATCTGCAGGCTCCTCTCCCACAAGGCCCAGGGTGATGGCAGAATGGTGAGGGAAGGGGACCTGCCACCAGGCATCCTTGGGAGGGCGCTCCCCTTGGCTTCCTGATTGAATGCTCAGCTGCCTCTCCAGTTTGCAGATGTGGAAATGGAGGCAAAGAGTGCGAGAAGGACACCCCAGGCTCACTGGCTGGGGTACAGTGGGGACCTAACACCCTCCTTGAGCCCTGTCACCACACAATGCCACCCCCAGCTAGGCATGACCAATTTCTCATTTTACTGGCGCCGGCCTTCTTCAGCGTCAACTTTCTGGTCGTTTGACCAAAGTGGACCATTGTTTCCCCAAATTACACTTTAATAAAAAAAAAAGAAGAAAAGCTAAGCCGATTGAATGATGGTCACGGGACTGGACAATTTCAAAGCAGAGTTATTGGGGACTTGACTCAGCTGGCCATGCCATTCATTAGATTACTTGGAGAGTTGACTTTAAATTTAGTAGGCATTGAATTCACTGGCTTTCTGAATAGGCCTGGATTTGGAAAGAAATTCAATTAACTGGTTCTTTGACTAAATTAACAGGGTTCTTTTTCTGATTGAATTATGGCAGTTTCTTGGAAGACTTCACTTGCCTCTTCCCCGAAGCTTCCGTGGACCTTACCAGGGAGTCCTGAGGGCCGTGGGCGAGTCCCGCAGCTCCAGCGGCTGATTCTGAAGGCTGCTTCCTTCCGAGTTGGGCCCTGGGCCACTTCTCCTAGGAGCCCCTTCCTCTGGGTCCACACTGGGTGCTAGCGAGGTGTTTCTAGGACTGTTTCCCCAGCAGGCTCTCAGCTCTTTCGGGACAGGGACTGTGGGGCTCACCTGGGTCCGGGCGCTGGACAGAGGTCTTAGCTCAAAGCAGGGGCTGGGGCAGGATGGGAGTGAATTCAGTGGAACCGACCCCAGGCCTTCTGATTCCAAGGCTGAGGGACTCACGCTTCTGCCCCACTGGGACATCGAGCTTAGTTCTTCTCTCAGACAAGGCAGGTGCTTCCCAATTGACTCCAGTCATCCACCACCCCACCCCATTCCGGCCAGCAATGAGCACCCACAAGGCCAGATCTCCAAAGTGCACCAGGCTTTACAGTTTACAAAGAGCTCCCACCTTCTCTCTGTAATCCTCAGAACGGTCCATGAAGGCAAGGGGGTCTCTTCCCTCTTTTACAGTTGAATGGCCCAGGGCTCCCAGAGGGGCTAGGCCTTGCCTAAGGTCACGTGGCCAGTGGGCAGGGAATATCAGGACTCCAGGCTGAGCCCAGGAGGTGTGCAGAGATCATAGGGGGCCCTCATCCTGTGCTAGAAGCAAGGAGGGATGAGGGCTGGAGGGTTTCAGCTCACGGAACACAAGGTTCAGCTGAGCTGGGGTCGGTAGAAGGTCAGAGAGGATGCCCGGCACTCCCAGGAGGTGACAGGTGGCCACAGGAGTGGGAGGGGGAAACGGAAGAGGACTTGCTCACTCAAGTGTCAGCAGATCCGAGGGCCTGCCAGGGGCATGAGCAGGAGCCTGGCGGACCCCCCCGCAGACTGCTGCCCTCAAGAGATGCAGGGCCAGGGGTGAGGAGGAGGCAGGGAGGCTACTCACCCTTGCTTTGCAGGATGAGAAAAGCTGCGGAGAAGGAAGAGGGCAGCTCTACCTGGGATGATGGCCAGGAAGGCAGTGCAGAGGCGGTGGCGTTGACCTGGTGGGGAAATGATCATTCTCCTGGCCAACCCGTGCCCCTCTCTGTCCTAAATGCTTTTCACACTCTGCCCCTGGGAGGCTGGTGTTATTAGCATCCCCACTTAACAATGGCTGGAGAACCCTGGTGGCAGGGGTCAGTGACTTGCTCAAGGTCACATGGCTAGTCTTGAACCCTGGCAAGGGGGCTACAGGGCCTGGCTCTTGACCCCAGCTGCCTCGGAGCACAGAGGACCCCCAGGCAGGGGACAGCAAGAGCAAGCCCATGGGGCTGAGAAGGGGTGGCTTTCGGAGGACAGGCTTTTCGCTCACTTTTGCTTTTTGCCTAAAAGCGGAGGGAAGAGCAAGCTGGAGGTGAGCAGACTCAGTTGAGTCCCCACCATGTGAGCTCCCGACTGTGCAACTCCACCTCTCCAAGCCTCAGTCTTCCAGTCTATAAGATGGGGCTAAGATTCCCGCCTTGAAGCTTATGAAGACAAAACCCAATGCCTGGTGTATACCAGGTACTCAGGAAAGTGGGTTCCTGTCCCCCCTCACACCCCTGGGGAGGTCAGGGACAGAGTCTGGAAAGGTCTGTTAGTCCAGGCCACCTTGTATACAGAGAGCAGGCTTGTCACTGGCCAGAGGCATCCTCCAGAGAAGGAAATTCTTTGAACCTCCAGATGCTGATGGCACGGGGGTGACGGCGGTGATGAGGAGAATGGGGATGAGTATGAAGGCGGTGACGAAGAGGGTAATTCTGGTGACTAAGTTCTGGTCACTCCCTGACATTCAGGCAGGCCAGGACAGGCTTGGCTAAGCACTGAGCATAGCTCTGAGAGGCGGGAGGTGGTGAGTGAGTGTCAGCACCCAGCTAACTCTGCTATGGGGATGATGCACCTGTCACTCTGTCACCTGACCGTGCCCCACCCTCGGGTCATGGCCTTGATAATTCCCTCTGTCCCCGCTTTTGCTGCTCTGACGGAGCACATCCTGTGGGATTGGCTGCCCAGGAGGCCACATTTCCTAGAAGGGGAGACACCTCCCTGAGGTCACACAACAAAGCTCGAGCAGGACAGGAACCCAGGGGTCCTGACTCTCTTGGGTTGTCCCTACCAGTCCCACCTCCTCCATGGAGTTCAGAGGTTGGACAGGAAGTCTGCAGTGAACCAATCCGTAGGCTGATTCCAGCTGAGCCCCTACTTTGTGTTGGCACCAGGAAGGGCCTGGAATTTGTCAAGACAGGGCCATCAGAGGATGCCCCTGTGAGCCATCCAGGAGGCAGAGGAGGGAGCAGGGTCAGCCTGCCAGGCTGGGGAAGGGCATTCCTAGAGGAAGGGAAGGCGAAGGCCAAGGGGTAGCAGGGACGGGCAAGGTATGGAGGTCTAGACGGAAGTAGAGGCTGCTGGGAGGCTGCTCCGAAGCTGCTCCTTGAGCTGGGTACAGGTGCCCACAGGGCTAGGGCAGGGCCTGCACAAGGAGTGATGGGAGAGGTCAGCGGGTCAAGTGCCAGGAGCCTTAAATGCCAGACCAAAGCCTCTGGACTGTGTCTTGTAGACCACAGGGGTCCTAGCAGGTTTTTAGCAGAGGACAGAGCTCAGGGTCTTCCCAGATGGCAGGGATGTGCGTGACAGCTGGGGTAGGTGCAGGGCGGATGGTAAGACTCTAAGGCTCCCTGAGTTACGGTGACCAAGAGGCCTTGTGAGCGCGTAGCATCTTGTCCACGTGACTCTGTGTGGGGAGGGCTGGGAGATAGCAGGGTAATGGGCCCCTGGGCAGTAAGACCTCATTTTTTTGTTGTTGTTGTGTTTAAGACAGGGTCTCGCTCTGTCACCCAGGCTGTGCGGTGGTGTGATCACAGCTCACTGCAGCCTCATCCTCCCAGGCTCAAGCAAGCCTCTCACCTCACGCTCCCAAGTAGCTGGGACCACAGGCACACACCACCACACCCAGCTGATATTTTTATTTTTTGTAGAGACAGGGTCTTACTCTGTTGTCCAGGCTGGTGTCACACTCCTGGACTCAAGCAATTTACCCACCTCAGTCTCCCAAAGGGCTCGGATTAAAGGCATGAACCACTGCACCTGGACTCTTTAATTTTTTAAGTAAAAATTATTTATTTACTCTGGAGACAGGGTCTTGTTCTGTCCCCCAGACCGGAGTGCAGTGGTGCAATCATGGCTCACTACAGCCTCAACCTCCTCCTGTATAGCTGGACTACAGGCGCACGTTACCACACCTGGCTAATTTTTTTTTTTTTGAGACGATGTTTTGCTCTGTCGCCCAGGCTGGAGTGCAGTGGTGCAATCTCGGCTCACTGCAAGCTCCACCTCCCAGGTTCACGCCATTCTCCTGCCTCAGCCTCCCGAGTAGCTGGGATTACGGGCGCCCGCCACCATGCCCGGCTAATTTTTTGTATTTTTAGTAGAGACGGGGTTTCCCCGTGTTAGCCAGGATGGTCTCGATCTCCTGACCTCGTGATCCGCCCACCTCGGCCTCCCAAAGTGCTAGGATTACAGGCGTGAGCCACTGTGCCCGGCCCACACCTGGCTAATTTTTAAAAAATTTTTGTTGAGACGGGGTCTCACTATGTTCCCCAGGCGGGTCTCAAGCTCCTAGCCTCAGGGGATCCTCCCACCATGGCCACCAAAGGGCTGGGATTATACATGTGAGCCACCATACCTGGCCAGGAAATAATTTTTAAAATTGCGGTAAAATACCTATCATATAAGATTTGTCATTTTAGCTGGTTTTAAGCGTAGGTTCTGTGGCACTAAGTTTTTTTTTTTGCGGGGGGGAACGGAGTTTCACTCTTGTTGCCTGGGCTGGAGGGCTGGAGTGCAATGTCGTGATCTTGGCTCACTGCAACCTCTGCTTCCTGGGTTCAAGCGATTCTCCTGCCTCAGCTGGTGTTGAACTCCTGACCTCAGGTGATCTGCCTGCCTTGGCCTCCTAAACTGCTGGAATTACAGGCGTAAGCCACCGCACCCGGCCAGCACTAAGTATTAATACATCCACACTGCTGTGCTCCTCCCCCTACTGCCCGCCCCATCTCCAGAGCTTACAGGGAACCACACAACCAGTTCCTTTCCTGAAAGCTCAGAGGACAGGCTGCCTCCTCCAAGGAGTGATCCTGACTTCCCAGGCAGAGAATTTCTGCAATAAGCATTAGGCCTCCCCTGTCCCCAGATCCCTGCCCAGAACCCAAACACGGGTGGAGCCTCCACAGGGCTTCCCACCCAGCCTCCTGCTTCCACAGAACAGGATTCACTCTGGCCAGAGGAGGAAATTCTTTGAACTTCTTTGAAGTCCATGATGGTGATGATGATGATGACGGTGACGGTGATGGTGATGAGAATAATGGTGATGGTGATGATGGAGAGGAGGAGGAATCTCTGGCTCTCCTGCTGATGTCTTTCTCTGACCAGTACAGTCTCTGGAAGGCAGGATCATGTGTTTTCCCACCCTCTGCCAAAGATGGGAGCAGCCTGGGCTGGAATGCAAGGTGGCAGGAGCATACCACAGCTCTGTCACTACGATGGCAACAGCCCCATCCCTGTCCCTCACAATGGCCCTGAGTGTGGCCCTGGTTGTCCCTGCCTGTGTCCTTCCTTGTCCCCCCAACCAGGGAGCTCCTGGAAGACTAGCCTGGGGTGCCCCCTTCACTGGCCCCCCAACATGGCCCCAGATCCAGTGGCTGTAGGGCCTTCCCAGTCTTGCCCTCACTTCCCAGCTGAGGAAGCTGTTCACACAGCCTTCCTGAGGCTGGGCCCCAGGCTGTCCCCAACATCAGCACTGGAACATGGGACCTGGGTGGGCTGAAGGGCCCTCGTTTCTTTTTTTGCTGTGAGTGGGAAGGGCTGGGGAAACTGAGGCACAGGTTAGTGTCTTCATTTGCCCAGGTCACCGTAGAAACCTACTCTCCTTGCTGCTCTCTGGACTCTGGGGCCACATAGGGAGGCGGCCTGCAGGGCCCCTGCCCAAGAGCCAGGTCAGACCGGAAGCTCAGTGCCGGGTGTAGGAGCTGAGCAGACCTGGGCTCAAATTCCAGTCTGCTCACTCCTCTGGTGGTCACAGCGCCTTCCTCACCTGTCAGTGGGGTGCATGATAGTGCAGCCTCTCACACTGGCTGGAGCGGCCAGTAAGGCAAACACCCCAGGTCGGGCCCAGGCTCGAGGCGGGGGCTCAGTGAATATCCCCTCTACCTTCTTTTCCTGCCCGGAGGTCTGAAGGGGGCAGCCCAATGGTATAGACGGGCCTGGAGAGAGGGTGGCTCAAGCCCTGGCCCCGCCTCTGGCCCTCTGTGACCTTCAGTATCTTCGTCGGCCTCTCGTGGCCACTGGGCTGTGTATGCAGGACAATATTCATTCTCAGGGTCTGCAAAGGCCACCCCCAGCCTTGTCCCTACCTCCTGAGGCGGGTGGAAGGGGCTGATGAAGGTCAGCCCAGAGATCTTGGAGTGAAAGGGGCAGAAGGCCCAGGGCTGGCTGCGGTGGACCCTCAGGAGGTGATGAAGCGAGGGTTGTCCCCCGAGTCCAGGGCCTCTGGAGCCTCTCCTTCCTGCTGTGTGCACGGGTCCATAAACAGAAGGGACCGCCAGTTCTGGTTCCATTAGACATCCAAAAAACAGGCTGGGCGCGGTGGCTCACACCTGTAATCCCAGCACTTTGGGAGGCTGAGGCAGGCAGATCATGAGGTCAGGAGTTCGAGACCAGCCTGGCCAACATGGCGAAACCCCATCTCTACTCAAAATACAAAAATTAGCCGGGCATGGTGGTGGGCACCTGTAGTCCCAGCCACTCGGGAGGCTGAGGCAGGAGAATCATTTGAACCCGGGAGGCAGAGGTTGCAGTGAGCCAAGATCGTGCCACTGCACTCCAGCCTGGGCAACAGAGAGACTCTGCCTTAAAAAAAAATCCAAAAAACGTGAGCGAAGGGGTTGCTAAGTCCTTAGACTTAGAGGGAGGCCCCCGGAGACCACTTGGGTGAGAGTCCCAGGCTCAGCTCTGCCCTGTCCTCCATTTGAGGGCTTGGGCAAGTCCCCATACCATTTGGGCCTCAGTTTCCCCATCTGGACATGAGGGTTTCCACTGGCCCAGAGTTGGGCTGGGAGTCAGGTGTGACCTCAGGGGACTCGTGGTGCTCTCCTGGCTCTTGGTCTCCACCTGGGCCTGGACTTTTCTGTGGGACCCATCAGGGACACTCAGCAAACACCCCTTTGCATTTGTTTTATTTATTTATTTATTTTTATTATTTTATTTTATTTTGAGACACAGTTTGCTCTTGTTGCCCAGGCTGGAGTGCAATGGCACAATCTCGGCTCACTGCAACCTCCATCTCCCAGGTTCAAACATTCTCCTGCCTCAGCCTCTCGAGTAGCTGGGATTGCAGGCATGTGCCACCACGCCTGGCTAATTTTGTATTTTTAGTAGAAACGGGGTTTCTCCATGTTGGTCAGGCTGGTCTCGAACTCCCGATCTCAGGTGATCCGCCCGCCTCGGCCTCCCAAAGTGCTGGGATTACAGGAATGAGCCACCGCGCCCGGCTGTTTGTTTTTATGTCTTCTTTTTTCTATTTGTTAATAAAGCTCGCTTGGGGTCAGATTGCTAGGACCAAAAAGGCCCTGGCAGACAGCCTAGTCCATTATATAGACAGAGAAACTGAGGCTCTTGGGGCGAGGCAACCCGCCAGTGCCCTCCGGTCCAGCCCAGGCTGGGACCCGGGAATTCGGGCGGCGCTCGCCTGCTGCCCCCGTGTGGCCGCCGCGGGCGCTGCAGGCGGGTCCTGGTCACGCGGGGCGGGGCTGCTTCTCATTGCCAAGCCCAGGGCGGACGTGGGGAGCACCCATAGGGAGAAGGCCTGCCCTGGCCACCTGAGACTGCGACTCCGAGAAGTGCCCTGAACGAGTTCACCTCCGAAGGGAAACCAGGGACGCTTCCAGGAGGCAGTGTCCTTGGAGCAGGTGGTCGGGAGTGCTCCGGGCGCCCCACCTGGAGGAGTCCAGCCCTGGGACCAATTCTGCGCTGGCCTGAGAACAGCGAGGGCCTCGGAACCCGGCGGAGGGGTTCCAGCGGCTTGGTTGCTGTGGACTCCAGCGAATGCCTTAACCTCTCTGAGCCTCCTTTTTCTCAGCAAGAAATTGGTGTACACACACACACGCGCGCGTGCATACACACACCCTTCACAGGCTGTTGTGAAGATTAAGTTGGTATTCAAAGCATCGGGCCCAGCCCCGGGTTCCAGGTGGGTTGTGTTCAGCCTCTCCCCTCTCCATCCCTCCCTTGCAGGAGTTTGGGCTGGAACTGCTCCTCCCAAAGGTGTCTCCAGGCCCTGTCAAGGCCCAGGGACAGAGCTGGTACTAGCCCTGACCACACAGTGGGAGAGCTTCCTGTGTTTTCCCCTTCCCTTTGATGGGGTCAGGAGGTCTCCATCGAGTGCTAGCCGTCTACACCACCTTATCAACCTCGTCAATGGAGAGGCAGAGGTTGGCTGTGGTCCTGTAATCCCAGCACTTCAGGAGGCCGAGGTGACAGATCACTAGAGCCCAGGAATTACAGACCAGCCTGGGCAACATGGTGAAAACCTCTTTACAAAAAATACAAAAATTAGCCCGGCATGATGGTGTGTGCCTGTGGTCCCAGCTACTTGGGAGGCTGAATTGGGAGGACTGCTTGAGCTCGGGGGTTTGAGGTTGCAGTGAGCCAAGATCGCACCACTGCACTCCAGCCTGGGCAAGAGTGAGACCCTGTCCCCCTAAAAAAAACAAATGAAACCAAAACAAAAGTCAGAGAGGCAGGTCCTGGGCCTTGGGCCCAGCACTGACCAGCAGGAGTACCTGGCTAGAATAGAAACTCCTTGTTTGACTTCATTCTATTTCTTTTCACTTTTACCTTCCATATGTGGCAAGTTGATACTGGTTTCCACTTATGTAGGGATAGGAAGTTTCCTTTTAAAATAAAATTGTTCCAGGCACAGTGGCTCGCGCCTGTAATCCCAGCACTTTGGGAGGCCAAGGCGGGCGGATCACTTGAGGTCAGGATTTCGAGACCAGCCTGGTCAACATAGTGAAACCCCATCTGTACTAAAAATACAAAAATGAGCTGGGCGTGGTGGCACACACATGTAATCCTAGCTATTTAGGAGGCTGAGGCATGAGAATCGCTTGAACCTGGGAGGCAGAGGTTGCAGTGAGCTGAGATCGCGCCGTTGCACTCCAACCTGGGTGACAGAGTGAGACTCAGTTTCAAAAATAAAATAATAAAATTGTTCAAGTAAAAAAAAAGCAAGCTGATTTAAAAACATGTTATTCTATAATTTTAATACAATAGTTTAGAGGTGGGCACTGGAGACAACAAAGGTGACAGTGGAGTGACAAGATCTGAAGCCAGCACTAGAAAGCCTCTACATCCCGCTAATCAGCAGGTGAGGCTGGGCCAGGAGCCTCTCATTCTTTTTTTTTTTTTTTTGAGACAGAGTCTCCCTCTGTCTCCCAGGCTGGAGTGCAGTGGCGCCATCTTGGCTCAGTGCAACCTCCGCCTCCTGGGTTCAAGTGATTCTCCTGCCTCAGCCTCCCGAGTAGCTGGGACTACAGGCGCGTGTCACCACACCCAGCTAATTTTTGTATTTTTGTATTTTTAGTAGAGACAGGGTTTCACCATGTTGGCCAGGATGGTCTTGATCTCTTGATCTCGTGATCTGCCCACGTCAGCCTCCGAAAGTGCTGGGATTACAGGCATGAGCCACTGCGCCCGGCCAGGAGCCTCTCATTCTATGGACTGAAGTCACATATTCAATCCAGCGGGGATATTCTGAGCCCCGCCATGTGCTGGTGCCTGTACCTGCTATATCTCCTCTTTGGTGGGGAGACAAGCCCCCAGCCCAGGCAGGGTCCCCACCAGGCTGGACATAGACCCATTCTGGGTGAATGTGAGGGGAAGAAATTGAGCGTGCCCGGTGGTGGCGGAGCCAGGAACAGGAAGGCCTGGAGCCAGCCTGCGCTCCGCCCATCCAGCAGAGTCTCCACTTGGTGTGGATTTGAAAGTGATCTAACACGTCGTCCTCTCTTGTCACCCAGGCTGGAGGGCAATGGTGCGAACTCGGCTCACTGTAACCACTGCCTCCCAAGTTTAAGCGATTCTCCTGTCTCAGCCTCCCAAGTAGCTGGGATTACAGGCGCCTGCCACTATGCCCAGCTGACTTTTGTATTTTTAGTAGAGACGGGGTTTCACCATGTTGGCCAGGCTGGTCTTGAACTGCTGACCTCAGGTGATCCACCCACCTCGGCCTCCCAAAGTGCTGGGATTATAGGCGTGAACCACCGTGCCTAGCTCCTGACTCTGAATTTATATGCTCCTGATAAGCCATCATTTTCTTACACTTATTCACACATGAGTGCTTAACAATAGAAAAAATGACATACCATTAGTACAGTTAAAAAAAAAAAGTGTTCAGAGAAACTAAGCAGCACAGCAGCGGCATCAGAATCCCTGTGTCAGCTGTTGAACAGTGGAAACACACAGCGGCAGGCGTTCAGTCTCCTGGGATGCTGTGTTTTCATTAAAAGTTTACTGTACACCACATTTTATTTTTTCTTAGGCAAGAAGAAACATCAGAAGCAGCTGAGGGACCAGGAAGCGGGTCCGTTAAGGCTAAGGAGACATTCTGCCGGCCGGCTTTTAAAAATGTTTCCTATGGGCCTGGCGCGGTGGCTCACACCTGTCATCCCAGCACTTTGGGAGGCAGAGGCGGGCGGATCACTAGGTTAAGAGATTGAGAACATCCTGACCAACATGGTGAAACCCCGTCTCTACTAAAAATACAAAAATTAGCCGGGCGTGGTGATGCATGCCTGTAGTCCCAGCTACTCGGGAGGCTGAGGCAGGAGAATCGCTTGAACCTGGGACTCAGAGGTTGCAGTGAGCTGAGATCATACCACTGCACTCCAGCCTGGGCGACTGAGCTGCACTCTGTCTCAAAAAAAAAAAAAAAAAAAAAAAGTTCCCTATGGAGTCATCTGCCTTATTAACAATGGTTTTTGTCTTAGATGACTCCCTGACCTCATCTTCATGTTGTATACCTGCATTTTCACTGCAAACCTGTCACAGAAGGTCGGGTGTGGAATTTTCCACTTTTGGCATCATGTTGGCACTCAAAAAATTTCACATTTTGGAGCATTTCAGAATTTTTGGATTAAGGGTGCTCAGCCTGTAGTCAGATATAGTTGCATAGAGTGAAGGCATTATCCAAATAGATTTTTCAGTGATTGTGCTTTTTAAAAAGCAGACACATTTACATAACAATGAAGAAGTGGAAATCCTTTGCATCTTTAACCAGTCTCTTACTCTCATTCTCCTTCCCTCTTTTATAATCTTCCGTTTCAACTTAGGAAACTTATATTTCTCTATGCCAACTTTGTGAAACCATGCAGAATGGCTGTATCCAAAATTGCATGACAACAAAAAATTGTGAAAATGTCTGTCAAATCCAGTTGTTTAATTCTTTTAAAACTATGAGTATGAAATTATTGTTATTCTACCACTTACTGTTTTGAAAAGAGTTCAAGGTTTTAGCTAGGTTATTTAATTGATGTTAAATCTGAGGGAGTTCCAAAAATGTGAAGAAAAAAAGAACACATAATTGTCCGAAGATTTAAGATCCTGAAATGTGATTCAGTAAACATAGTCATCTGTAGTTTCAACTTGGAAATTAAAAATGAGAAGATAACTCTTATCCTGTTTTGAGGAAAAAAAAAAGCCTATATTTAAAGGTTAATCTACATGTTCACAGAGTAATTAAGATTGTATTAAAATGTCTTTGTTTCTATTTAAAGTTTGTTATTCTATAACACAGTAGTTGCTTTTTTCTATAAGATCTTCAAGGCTGAGGACCCAGGCTCATGCCTGTAATCCCAGCACTTTGGGAGGCCAAGGCGGGCAGATCACTTGAGGTCAGGAGTTCAAGACCAGCCTGGCCGACACAGTGAAACCCCATCTCTACTAAAAATACAAAAAATTAGCTGGGCGTGGTGGTTCATGCCTGTAATCCCAGATACTTGGGAGGCTGAGGCAGGAGAATCACTTGAACCTGGTAGCTGGAGGTTGCAGTGAGCCGAGATTGTGCCATTACACTCCAGCCTGGGCTACAGGAGCAAAACTCAGTCTCAAAAGAAAAAAAAACCTTCAAGATAACAGTTTAATTTTAAAACAGTTGTTTAATGAAAAAAGGAAGGTTAGGGACTAGAGAATTTTTGAAACAATAATTATGATAGGAATATCAGTAACAAAATGTTTCTGAAGCTATAAATGTAAGCTAAAAATATAAACATCATTGACTAAATCCAGTCTTTGATTAGAACTAGTTTTTTCTCTATTAAGGCTCTTATTTTCTACTAGCACTAACTTGTACTCAACCCTTAGTACATATTCTCTCACTTTTTAGTAACCATTGTTATGATAAATTGAAAAGCCATTCAAATAAAATTTTGTGTGAATTAATCTGTTTGCCAGAGTGAAAAGAGTAGTAACAATAGGTAAACAGAACACTTGTGGCTCTAAGTCAGGGACTTAAAGTGGTGCGCTTAGCGGATAACGCTTCTGGTCACCTACAGTTTGTTTCTGAAAACTGAAAGGAGTTTCAGTGGTGATAGCTGGGATCACAGGCGACCGCCACCATGACCGACGAATTTTTTGTATTTTTAGTAGAGACGCGGTTTCACCATATTGGCCAGGCTGGTCTTGAACTCCTGACCTCCAGTAAACCACCCGCCTCTGCCTCCCAAAGTGCTGGGATTATAGGAGTGAGACACCACTTCCAGCCTACATGTGTCTTTATGGGAGAAGAGTGTTTCCTGTAGGCAACAGAGCAATGGGTCTTTTTATTTTATTTTATTTATTTATTTATTTATTTATTTTTGAGCTGGAGTCTTGCTCTGTCACCAGACTGGAGTGCAGTGGCACCATCTCGGCTCACTGCAACCTCTGCCTCCCGGGTTCAAGTGATTCTCCTGCCTCAGCCTCCTGAGTAGCTGGGACTACAGGTGCGCACCACCACACCCTGCTAATTTTTGTATTTTTAGTAGAGACAGGGTTTCACCATGTTTGCCAGGATGGTCTCTAGCTCTTGACCTCATGATCTGCCTGCCTTGGCCTCCCAAACTGCTGGGATTACAGGCGTGAGCCACCACACCTGGATGGGTCTTGTTCTTTCATCCATTCATCCACTCTATCTTTTGATTGAAAAGTTTAGTCTACTGACACTCAATGTTATTATTGATAAGTAAGGACTTACTCCTGCCATTTTGTTATTTGTTTTCTGGTTGTTTTGGGGTCTTCTCTTCCTTCTTTCATTCCTGTCTTTCATTAGTGAAGGTAATTTTCTCTGGTGATATGATTTAGTTTCTTGTTTTTTATTTTTCGTGTATCCATTGTTATGTTTTTTGGTTTGAGGTTACCATGAGGCTTGTAAATACTATCTTATAATCCATTATTTTAATCTTATAAGTTTTCATAAACAAGTAAAAAGAAAACTAATAAAAACTCTACAACTTAACTTTGTCTCCCTATTTTTTAACTTTTTGTTATTTCTATCTTATTATACCATCTATGTCTTGAAAAGTTGTAGTTAATATTTTTGATTGGCTCATAGTTTAGTCTACTTAGAGTAAGAGTAGTTTATACATCATAGTTACAGTGTTATAACATTCTGCATTTTTCTGTATACCTACTATTACCAGTGAGTTTTATACCTTCAGGTTGTTACTTATTGCTCATTAATGTCCTTATCTTTCTGATTGAAATACTCCCTTTAGCATTTCTTCTAGGACAGGTCTGGTGTTGACAAAATCCCTCAGCTTTTGTGTGGAAAAGTGTTTATTTCCCCTTCACTTTGAAGGATATTTTCACTGGATACACTGTTCTAGGGTAAATGTTTTTTTCCTTCAGCACTTTCAATATGTCATGCCACTCTCTCCTGGCCTGAAACGTTTCTACTAAAGAGTCTGCTGCCAGATATATTGTAGCTCCATTGTATATTATTGGTTTCTTTTCTCTTGCTGCTTTTAAGATCCTTTCTTTATCCTTGATCTTTGGGACTGTGATTATTAAATCCCTTGAGGTAGTCTTCTTTGAGTTACATCTGCTCGGTGTTTTATAACTTTCTTGTACTTGGATATTGATATCTTTCTGTAGGTTTGGGACGTTCCGTTACTATCCCTTTGAATACACTTTCTACACTCCCCACCTCCTCTTTAAGGCCAATACCACTTAGATTTGTCCTTTTGAGGCTATTTTCTAGATCCTGTAGGCATGCGTCATTGTTTTTTATTCTTTCCTTTGTCTCCTCTATGTATTTTGAAATAGCCTGTCTTCAAGCTCATTAATTCTTTCTTCTGGTTTATCAATTCTGCTATTAAAAGACTCTAATGCATTCTTTGGCATGCCAATTACATTTTTTGGCTCCAGAATTTCTGCTTGATTCTTTTAAATTATTTCCATCTCTTTGTTAAACTTATCTAATAGAATTATGAATTCCTTCCCTGTGTTATCTTGAATTTCTTTGAGTTTCCTCAACACAGCTATTTTGATTTCTTTGTCTGAAAGGTCACATATCTCTGTTTCTACAGGATTGGCCCCTGGTGTCTTATTTAGTTCATTTGGTGAGGTCATGTTTTCCTGGATAGTGTTGATGCTAGCAGATGTTCTTTGGTGTCTGGGCATTGAAGAGTTAGGTATTGATTGTAGTTTTCACTGTATTTATTGTAGTTTTCACTGTCAGGGCTTGTTTGTACCCATCTTTCTTGGGAAGGCTTTCCAGATACTTGAAAGAACTTGGATACTGTGATCTAATCTCTATCTGCTTTAGGGGGCACCCCAAGCCTCCTAAACTCTGGTTCTTGCAGACTCATAGCGGTACTGCCTTAATGGTCTTGGACAAGATCCAGGATAATTCTCTGCATTACCAAAAAGAGACTCTTGTTTTCTTCCCTTACTTTCTCCCAAACAAACAGAGTCTCTCTCTCTGTTCTGAGGCACCTAAAGCTTGGGGTTGAGTGACATAAGCACCTCTGTGGCCACCACTACTGTGACTGCATTGGGTCAGACCTGAGGCCAGCACAGCACGGGGTCTTGCCCAAGACCTGCTGTAACCACTCCTTAGCTATTGCATGAGTTTGCTGAAGGCCCTGGGGCTCTACAGTCATCACATGGTAAAAACAGCCAGGCCTGTGTCCTTCCCTTCAGGATGGCAAGTTCTCCTAGCCTCCAGGTGGATCCAAAGGTGCTGTCTGGGAATCAGGGCCTAGATCAAAAACTGTAAAAGTCTACGTAGTGTTTTATTGTGCTATGGCTGAGCTGTCACTCAAACCACAAGATGCAGTCCCTCCCACTATTTCCACCCCTGTCCAAAGACAGAGGAGCATCAATCCAGGGCCACCTCAAACACAGGCCATGGGGAGGTACTGCCAGACTACCACCAATGTTCTCATAAGGCCCAAAGGCTCTTAAGTCAGTTTGCAGTGAATGCTCCTGTTAATTATTTTTAAATGCTTTTTTTTTTTTTTCTTTTGAGACGGAGTCTCACCCTGTCACCCAGGCTAGAGTGCAATGGCATGATCTCGGCTCAATGCAACTTCTGCCTCCCAGGTTCAAATGATTCTCCTGCCTCAGCCTCCCAAGCAGCTGGGATTACAGGCAACCACCACCACACCCAGCTAATTTTTGTATTTTTAGTAGAGACGGGGTTTCACCATGTTGGCCAGGATTGTCTCGAACTCCTGACCTTGGGATCCTCCCACCTCAGCCTCCCAAAGTGGTTCTTATTATAAAAATAATCAAACTTACCCTTCTACAAATACTCGAAGAAGAACATCCATGAGAAAAAATAAGGCAATAGCTAGAGAAATAGAACGATACTCCAAAGGAATATAAAGTTTGCTGTCAGTGAAAATTAGGTCGGCAAGGACGAGAGTGACATCCAGTAAGACGAGGAAAACTCCAAATAGTCTAAAATAAATAAATAAATAAATAAATAAATAAATAAATAAATAAATAAATAAATGCAAAGATAAAGGGGCATTTGTCCCTATAGCTATACTATATTTAAGCCACTGATCAGGTACCAAAATGTTATTATTTAGTATTAAGCTGCCCAGTGGCAGGAAAAACTGTAATGCCTTAGAATCTCAGAAAAATCACTGTTTTCACCCAATAGAAGCAGTTCTTAATAAACAAAATTCTCACCAAACCACTTCAGAAGATATTATCATGGCCTTTTATAGTAGACACATCAGACCAACACCTCAAGAGAGAAAAAGTAAAACTGAATTAAAATCACCTGTGTCTGTTTACAAACTCTTCTTAAAATGTGAGAATTTCATAAGAAGTTTATACCAACTTCTCATAAAAAATAAACCCTCATTAATCTGGATAATTCTAAAGAATTTATTAATAAAAACCAAATGAAAGCATGAGTAACATAAGCTCTTAAAAGACCAAGATTTTTCATCAGTGACATTTTCAACAAGTCCATGATTTCATCTTTATGGGTGCTTCGAGCAGAGTGATGGGCACATGAGTCTTGAACTCTAAAGTACCTCCTGCCACTTGCTGTTACATATTCCAAATACATTCTCCATAAATTGATTCGACTATTTGCCTAATCTATGAAGGTGAATTAGTCTTTGAAGTACTTTTTTAAAAACTTGCAGCTCAAATTCAAATATTATTAATTCAAAAGGAAACAATTATATTGCATAAATCTATATCATATAGTATGAAATCTTACTCTTATGTAGTCTAAATAAATAGTTTCCAGAATTAAAGAGTAATTCCAGATGTATAAGGTACTAATAAAACACTTTACTAATAATTACAGAATTTTAACATTTGATTTTCATTAATGTTACTTTTGCAGATGGAAGAAAAACAATATGTTACTATTAATCTTAGGCAAAAGCCATTTATTTGCAATTCTTAATGTCCAGCTTAAACCAAAATTCCATGATAAATTAGATTACATTAGATGGGGCACATGGCTACTTAGCAACTGATGGACAGTGGAAATGCTTTTTTGTTATTTTATTTCAGTGTTTCTCATTGAAGTATTAAGTCTCATATATATATATATGTATGTATAGATATATATGAGACTCATTTTTTTTTTTTTTTTACATGGAGTCTTGCTGTGTCACCAAGGCTGAGGTGCAATGGTGCAATTTCAGCTCACTGCAACCTATGCCTCCTCGGTTCAAGCGATTCTTCTGCCTCAGCCTCCTGAGTAGCTGGGATTACAGGCACCCACCATTATGCTTGGCTAATTTTTGTATTTTTAGTAGAGATGGGGTTTCACCATGTTAGCCAGGCTGGTCTTGAACTCCTGACTTCATGTGATCCGCCCGCCTCGGCCTCCCAGAGTGCTGGGATTACAGGCGTGAGCCACCACACCCAGCCAAGTCTCAGATATATTTAATACATGGTGTTTTCTGTGTCTCACATACCCAAATGCAAAGGATGATACAATTGAATGCACAATTTTCTTAATCTTACTGCTGCAAAAAGAAGTAAAAATAAAATTAATCAGATTTCTTCTAACATATATTGTAAATTTAACCAAAAAACAAAGGCCCTTATAAATATAATTTTAAAAGAAAATTATTCAGAAGTTGTATAACAAAATGCTTTTTACTAATAGCTAAAATGTTATTCTTCCTGCTCCATGAGTATTTTACTTGTTTACTATGCTATCCAGAAGACAGTAAACTTTGGATGTTTAGTAACATTTCCATTGCATGCAAAGCCCCAACCCCAACTTTATGGCAATACTAAACTTAAACTTGTGGTCATCATCTCAAGGAGTATAGCATGAAGACAGAAAAGGGTGGTAGAAGAGAACTGTATTTTAATGCCAGCCTGGGCAAATCATCAAACTTTGGCCAGATCTCAGTTTCCACTGCAATAAAATAAGGTTTCAGGAATGAGCATAGGGAGTAAATGATGCTCTTGTCATCCCCTCAAACTAGACACCTAGTGAGCAGATATACATTAGCAAGAGTCGCATATGAGGTTGCAAATGAACTTCAGAGGTAAGACATTTTAGTAAGATATACTTCAAAGGAGAAACACCCGAAAGACTGGGCTCCTTCCATTAATCAAAGGAAGGAGAACCTGTTTGATGGAGCCTCCAATAATGCCTCATTTTACCTTATGGCTGGAGACAAGGTAGCTCATGAGGAACAATTTTTTTTGTCCTACTGAAGCCTCCTGTGTTGGAAGCTCTTCAGGAGGAGAAGCCTCCAACACAGGAGGCTTCAGTAGGAGAAGTCTTCAGGAAGTTTCTGTCATACTGAAGCCTCCAACACAGGACTCAAATTCCACCCCAAGAGCCATGAATCCTAAGACAATGCTCACAGCCTGTGCCTAAGACTGGAGAACAAAGAGGGCAGATACTGAGCAGAACTGGGGCACTGACAATTGGCCTTTGACATGAACAGACATTTCTCAAAAGAAGACATGCATGTGGCCAACAAGCATATGAAGAAAAGCTCAATATCACAGATTAGAGAAATGCAAATCAAAACCACAATGAGATACCATTTCACACCAGTCAGAATGGCTATTACTAAAAAGTCAAAAAATAACAGATGCGGGCAAGGTTGCAGAGAAAAGGGAACACTTACACATTGTTGGTGGGAGTGTAAATTAGTTCAACCACTGTAAAAAGCACTATGGCAATACCTTGAAGAGCTAAAAGCAGAACTATTTGACTGAGCAATCCCATTACTGAGTAGATACCCAGAGGAATACAAATCATTCTACTATAAAGATACATGCATATGAATGTTCACTGCAGCACTATTTACAATAGCAAAGACATGGAATCAACCTAGGTACCCATCAATGACAGATTGGATAAAGAAAATGTGGTACATATATACCATGGAATACTATGCAGCCATAAAAAAAGAATGAGATCATGTATTTTGTGGGAACATCGATGGAGCTGGAGGCTCTTATCCTTAGCAAACTAGTGCAGAAAGAGAAAACCAAATACTGAATGTTCTCACCTATCAGTGGTAGCTAAATCATAAGGACTGATGAACACAAAGAAGGAAATAGACACTGGGGTCTACTTGAGTGGGGAGGGCAGGAGGAGAGAGAGGAGCAGAAAAGATAACTATTTGGGTACTGAGCTTAATACCTGGATGATGAAATAATATGTAAAAAAAAAAAAAAAACACCTCCCTGACACAAGTTTACCTATGTAACAAACCTCACGTGTACCTCCAAACCTAAAATAAAAGTTAAAAAAAACAAAATTGGCCTTTGATGAATGATGTTAGGTTAACCTGAGATAAAGGAAATCCCCAATCCTTCTAATCTTCCCCTCTCCACCTGGACCCACCACCTCCACCCAGGCTTGGAGAGTTAAGGCTGATATAGATGGAGGATCAATTGGCCAAAAGAGGTGAATTCTCTCCTCAAGTTGCCATTCCCTTACTACAAGAACCTCTGATCCCACACAGTCTACTAGATCTCTGGGTATCAAGGAAATGTCATAAATCTGAACTCACTTGACAATGTCACCATACAGAACCAAGTCTGACAGATTACGAAGGCATGAAGAAGTGGCTTGGGTGGCTTTAGCCCCTTAATCTGTTTGAGTGTCCCCTGAAACTATACCAAGTAAATACACAATTGAGACTTTTTTGGTTAAAAAGGTATACTATGTAAATGCAGCTTCAAGCAGTTATGTGCAGAGTTTGCAGGGAAATAACTATGACTCAGTAAATCCATACCCAGGAAAAGTACGGTTCACACTCGGGAACAACAGACAGATACTCCAACATGAAGCAACACGAAGCATAGCCTCCATGTACCTTTCCTAAAAACAATTACTCAAAGTGCTTGAGTCAGCTGAGCAATGAATCAAAATGAAGAACACAGAAATAAGGAAGATGACTTACAGAGAAAAGATGATAAATAATATAAACTCAAAATTAGGTAAGTCTAAATAATAATTGTTAATGTAGCATAAAAATGTAGCAGGTGAACAAAAGCAATGGCAACAAAAGCCAGAATTGACAAATGGGATCTAATTAAACTAAAGAGCTTCTGCACAGCAAAAGAAACTACCATCAGAGTGAACAGGCAAACTACAGAATGGGAGAAAATTTTTGCAATCTACTCATCTGACAAAGGGCTAATATCCAGAATCTACAAAGATCTCAAACAAATTTACAAGAAAAAAACAAACAACCCCATAAAAAGGTGGGCAAAGGATATGAACAGACACTTCTCAAAAGAAGACATTTATGCAGCCCACAGACACATGAAAAAATGCTCATCATCACTGGCCATCAGAGGAATGCAAATCAAAACCACCATGACATACCATCTCACGACAGTTAGAATGGTGATCATTAAAAAGTCAAGAAACAACAGGTGCTGGAGAGGATGTGGAGAAACTGAACACTTTTACACTGTTGGTGGGACTGTAAACTACTTCAACCATTGTGGAAGACAGTGTGGCGATTCCTCAAGGATCTAAAACTAGAAATACCATTTGACCCAGCCATCCCATTACTGGGTATATACTCAAAGGATTATAAATCATGCTGCTATAAAGACACATGCACACGTATGTTTATTGCAGCACTATTCACAATAGCAAAGACTTGGAACCAACCCAAATGTCCAACAATGATAGATTGGATTAAGAAAATGTGGCACATATACACCATGGAATAATAAGCAGCCATAAAAAAGGATGAGTTCATGTCCTTTGTAGGGATATGGATGAAGCTGGAAACCATCATTCTCAGCAAACTATCGCAAGGTCAGAAAACCAAACACTGCATGTTCTCACTCACAGGTGGGAATTGAACAATGAGAACCCTTGGACACAGGAAGGGGAACATCACACACCAGGGCCTGTCATGGGGTGGGGGGATGGGGGAGGGATAGCATTAGGAGATACGCCTAATGTAAATGACGAATTAATGGGTACAGCACACCAACATGGCACATGCACGAATATGTAACAAACCTGCACATTGTGCACATGTACCCTAGAACTTACAGTATAATAATAAAAGAAAAGTAGCAGGTGAAAATGTAAATAAATGATTCTGAAAGTAAAGATAATATAAAATCATGAATAATAGTATTGATTTGAATTTTTAGGCATTCTTACACTAGGATTCAAGGTGTGGAAGAAGATAGAAGTAAAGGCAGGTTGCATTTCTTATCTTTCACAGGTACAAGTCCAGTTTTATTCTCGATATTGATGGATAAAATGGTATAATTATGTTTTCTAAACATTTAAATATAAACATTGATAGACTAGAAATGGGCTTCTGACTTGCATATCAACAAAAAATGCAAGGGATAAAAACAAATCAATTAATTGCAAAATATAGACAAATTTACAAAGAAAATATCAAAGTATTTTTAATAAAGAAAAAGATGATAAATAAAACCAAACGTACCAGAAATCATAAATACAAACATATTACTCTCATACTGCATATTGAGAAATACTCTCAGATAACTTTGAAATTAAAGGCATTACATGCTATACACGAGAGACAAAAACTAAATTTAAATGACAATTCAAAAATAAAGAGATAGAGGCCAGGCACGGTGGCTCACGCCTGTAATCCCAGCACTTTGGGTGGCCAAGGTGGGTGGATCATGAGGTCAAGAGATCGAGACTATCCTGGCCAACATGGTGAAACTCCATCTCTACTAAAAATACAAAAAATTAGCTGGGCGTGGTGGTGCGTGCCTGTAGTCCCAGCTACTCACGAGGCTGAGGCAGGAGAATCACTTGAACCTGGGAAGCGGAGGTTGCAGTGAGCTGAGTGGCGCCACTGCACTCCAGCCTGGTGACAGAGCGAGACTCCGGCTCAAAAAAAAAAAAAGAGAGAGAAAAAAAGATATGAGATACTAAACCTTAAAACACTTAAAAGTTCCAATATTAATATCAAAGTTGAATTAAAAGCAAAAATATTAACTATGAACATGACTCATTTTTTATCAATAGAAGGTGGAAGCTACATGACACTAACAAGACCATGTTTAATGAAATGGGATTTGTATTGAAGGCAGGTGCTATCTCTCCCACTGGACACATTTTTCTCTTGTGCAGACTCTGGGGGTAGGGAGGTGGCCATGATGAAAAGCACGAAAAACACTGTAGTGACTCTGGTCTTCCTGCTCCCTCTAGATCACTAAAACAGGGTAAGGACAATACAGGGGGATGACATGTTCATGCTGAAAAAACTATGAGTCACTTAGGAGAAAAGTAAATTTCTACACTTTATACCTTAAGACAAAGTAAATTCAGGGCAGATATTTTATTTAAATGAAGAAAATAAATTCAAAACAGAAATTTTGGTGAATATGTTTAAAATCTTGGGGTAAGAAGGACTTTCTGAGAATAACATTAAAGGCAAAATCACAAAGAAAAGTACAGATACATTTGATTACATGAGGATGAAATGCTTTTATATAGTGAAAAGCAAGACAACCTGGGAGAAATTGCTTATATTACATAAAATAGAAAAAGGATCAATAGATTTAACTTTTCAGTCCAAAGACAGAAAAGGATAAATGAAGGTGTGTCAAAGAACGTGCATTAGAACAAATATATTTACTAATATCAGAGAAATCAATGATGGCTAGTGTTAAGTGTGGGAGGGGAGAAATGTACACTTTGCATCTTGATGTTAAAGCACATATCAGTATCAATAGCGTCACAATCATTCCCTTTGACACAGAATTTCCACTTCTGAGAATTTATAACAAGCAAATAACCAACAATATACAGAGATTTAGCCTCAAATATATTCATTTTTGTAACAGTTAAAAACTTGTAAAAAACTTAATTGTTCAGCAATATCTGACTATTAAATAAATTATATATAGCACATCTACACCATGAAATATCACACAACTGTTACAAATAATGTTGTAAGTGCACATGAATATATATTAACAAAAAAAATGATGTCATTAATAAGGTTATTTACAAAAGAATAAGTATGGTCTCATATCTGTAAACAAAAAAAGTATATGCTTGAAGAACTTAGAAGTGCATGCATCAAAGCTTAAGAATGACTATATGTGGGTAGATTTGTTGATTGTATTTTCTGATTTTCCTTTAATGACCTCTTACGTTATTTTCAGTTTTTAGAATAAAACCTATTTACAGATCTACAGAGTTTTCGAAGTATTTTTGCATGTTATTTTCGTTTTATTACTAATTTTTTACAATACAATATCCAGTACATAGATTGCATTATAGCCAGTTTACATTTGAATAATCTGAAAGTTAAAGAGGGTTAGTGACTTGCTGAGTATCAGGTGAATGAATATATGATATGCCAAAGCCAAGCACTGATTCCAGCTTTTACTATAAATCCAGTATCATCCCCCTGGTATGAAACACCAGCATTTCTCACAGGGACTATTGCAAATTCCTCCTATATCTACGTAATGAGACTTTGTAATTTAAAAATAAAATAAAATGAAAACCTGCTTTATTTTGTTTGGAGTCAGGAAAGAAGGAAATGCTTGCCTTGCTTAATCTAATTTTGTTTCAGCCCTGGGCAGCTCCATTACAGAAAACGTATAGCTAATCTGCAGACACACAGTTTAATTCAGTGGCAAATTCAGGGTAATTTGAAGAACTACTTGTATTTGCCCTCTTTGTTTCCAATCTTTGTTTAGACACCAACAGCTTACAACCATGGTGAGTTAACTTCCTCTATGGCCGTACTTCCTCTCCAGCATTGACACAAGCTGGTGAATGGTTATACAACTGGGCAAGAAAGAAGCAGAAGAAAAATCTCCTGAATATGTCTGCAGTTCAGACACAAGCCAGTTTAAGAATGTATTGTTTCATTACAGTAAGTACATGATAAAATGCCTTCAGGTCAGTGCAACAGGAAGTACTCTAGTGAGATTAGAAACAAATAAGAATAAAATCCCAATGAGCATAAAGAGGTCTTTAGTCAGCAAAATATGTTTGCTTTTGCTATCAATACTATTTGCTCATAGGCAAAATCTACAAAATTGGGAATCACACCATATCCAGTAAAAATGAGAAACGTTCACTATTGATGAGTTAAGTAGCATTCTGCATTCCTGTTTTTTTTAAAAAAACTTTTAATGGAATTAATTTCCTCTAAGAATACTTTTTACATTTTCAAGCTAGAAGAACATTTATTTCTGAATGGATGGAATTTTTTTTCAAAATAATACTTGTCTAAGAATTCAACTGGAGTAAATACGGTGTACCCTCCCACCCATACATTTTGATATCTTTCCATAGTTTCCCTTTTTCCTTCTTGCCTCAGCGGAAGCCCTGTTTAAAGATAAGAGATCCATCAATAGCTCCCTCCTTTCAAACTTCAAACTGACTTACTCATATGAAGCAACATTTTCAGCATCTCCAACTTCAAACTTGGAAAGTCGTTCTAACATTCTTTAGCCACCAAAAAAAAAAAATGCAAAAATGTATCCTTAGATATTTGCTACACAAAATAGTGATGAAAAATATATTTGAATAACAAGAATCCCATGAATCTAAAGGATATAGTAAACATGACTTAGCTCACTGGAAGACCTAATATTTAAGAAAGAAAATTACAATCATTAACCAGCAACTCTTTCCTCATGGATACTCCCAACACTGAATTTTGCATATTTTTATCTTCTTTTCTCTGTCTCTTTCTATATATATGTATATAAAGATATATAAAAGAATATGTATACAGATATATAATATATAAATAATGTGTATAGACATATCTCAAAGACATTGTGGGTTTCATTCCAGACCACTGCAATAAAGCAAAAACTGCATTAAGCAACTCACACTAATGTTTTGGGTTGCTGTGCATATAAAAGTTACGTTTACCCTACACTGTAGCCTGTTAAGTTTGCAATGGCATTATGTTCAAAAAACTTATGTACATACCTTAATTAAAAACTACTTTATTGGTTAAAAAATGCTAATGATCACCTGAGCCTTTAGCAAGTCATAGTCTTTTTGCTGGTGGAGGGCGTTGCCTCCATGTTCATGGCTGCTGACTGATCAGAGTGGTGGTTGCCAATGGTCGGAGTGGCTGAGGCAATTTCTTAAGATAGGACAACAATGAAGTTTGCTGTGGCAAATGACTCTTCCTTTCACAAGTGAGGATTAAGTGGTGAAGCCATCAGGTCCTGGACTTTGTTGAAAGCCTTTTTATTACTGATTCAATCTCGTTACTTGTTTTTGGTCTGTTCAGGTTTTTTTCTATTTCTTCTTGGTTTAGTCTTGGTAGGTCGTATGGGTCAAGGATTTTGTCCA
Source organism: Homo sapiens (assembly GCF_000001405.40). Taxonomy (NCBI): domain Eukaryota; kingdom Metazoa; phylum Chordata; class Mammalia; order Primates; family Hominidae; genus Homo; species Homo sapiens. The sequence continues at coordinate 38,370,913 of NC_000022.11, forward strand.
CCTCCTCCAGGTTTTCAAATTTATTGTAGAGTTGCTCATAATAGTCTCTAATAATTATTTTTATTTCTGTCATATCTGTTATGAGGTCTCTTTTCCTTGTTTCTGATTTTACTTATTTGGGTCTTCCCTTTTTCTTAATTAGTCTAGCTAATGGTTTGTTGATATTTTTTAAACCTGCTTTTTGTTGTTAACCTTTTGTAATTTTTGCCTCAAATTTGTTTATTTCTGTTTGGTCTTCATTATTTATTTCCTTTTAATAATTTGGGGGTTGGTTGGTTCTTAATATTCTAGTTTCTTGAGGTAGAATTGTTCAGTGGTTTATTTGAAAGTTTTCTAGTTTTTTTGATCCAGGCATTTATTGCTAAAAACATACTTCTTTTTTTTTTTATACTTTAAGTTCTAGGGTACATGTGCACAATGTGCAGGTTTGTTACATATGTATACATGTGCCATGTTGGTGTGCTGCGCCCATTAACTCGTCATTTACATTAGTTTTATCTCCTAATGCTATCCCTCCCCCCTCCCCCTACTCAACAACAGGCCCCAGTGTGTGATGTCCCCCTTCCTGTGTCCAAGTGTTCTCATTGTTCAATTCCCACCTATGAGTGAGAACATGTGATGTTTGGTGTTTTGTCCTTGCGATAGTTTGCTGAAAAAATGATGAGTTCATGTCCTTTGTAGGGACATGGTTGAAGCTAAAAACATACTTCTTAATAACTGCTTCTGCTCTGTCCCGTTTTGGTATATTGTGTTTCTAGTTACATTTGTTTCAAGGAATTCTTAAATTTCATTCTTAATTTCTTTCTTCACTCATTGTAACTCAAGGGCATGTTGTTTAATTTCCATATGTCTGTATAGTTTTGAATGTTCCTCTTGTTATGAATGTCTAGTTTTATTTCATCGTGGTAAGATGAGATACCTGATAGAATTTGTTGAGACTTGTTTTGTAGCCTAACATACGGTCTATCTTGGATAATGTTTCATGTGCTGAAGAAAAGAATGTGTATTCTGCAGCTGTTAGGTGAGATGTTCTGTATATGTTTGTTATTTATGTCCATTTGGTCTATGGTGGAGTTTAAGTCTGATGTTTCTTTGTTGATTTTCTGTCTAGATGATTTGTCCAATGCTGAGAGTGGGATACGAAGTGCCCAACTCTTATTGTAATGGGGTCTATCTCCCTCTTTAGATCCAGTAATATTCGCTTTATATATCTAGGTGATCTGGTGTTTGAGTGCATACATATTTACAATTATACACATATTACAATTATATTTCTTGCTGAACTGAATCCTTTATTATTACATAATAATCTTGTTTGTCAATTTTTATGGTTTTTAACTTGAACTCTGTTTTGTCTGATACAAGTATAGCTATTCCTGCTCACTTTTGGCTTCCATTTGCACAGAATATCTTTTTCCATCCCTTCATTATCAGTCTATGTGTTTCTTTACCAGTAAAGTGAGTTTCTTTTAGATAAAATATAGTTGGATCTTATTTTTTAATCCACTCAGTAAGTCTATATCCTTCATGGGGTATTTAATCTATTAACATTCAAAGTTATTATTGGTAGGTGAGGAGTTACTTCCAACGTTTTATTGTTTTCTGGTTGTTTTGTATATGTTTTATTCCTTTCTTCCTGTTTACTTTTGAAGTTGGGTAGTTTTCTGTAGTGATAAGGTTTCATTCCTTTCTCTTTCTCCTTTATGTATTGACTCTAACAGTGACTTTTAAAGTTTTGCATGTTTTCATGATGGTGGTTATCATCTTTTTACTTCCAGATGTAAAACTCCCTTGGGCATTTCTTGTAACGCTGGTCTAGTGGTGATGAATTATCTTGGTTTTTGTTTATCTGTGACAGATTTTATGTCTTCATTTGTAACGGATAGCTGTGCTGGGTATAATATTCTTGGCCGAAAGATTTTTTTTCTTTCAGAACTTCGAATATATCATCCCATTCTCTTCTAGCCTAAGGTTTCTGCTGGGAAATCAGCTGTTAGTCTAATGGGGATTCCATTATAAGTGTGTTACTTTTCTCTTGCTATTTTAAAATATCTTTGTCTTTGATTTTTCACAATTTGACTATAATGTCTGGGTTGAATGTATCTGGGGTTCTTTGATCTTCCTGGAACTAGATGTCTAGCTTTCTCTCAAGAGTTAGGAAGTTTCATGCTATTTTATTAAATATGTTTTCCTCATATTTTCTCTACACTTTTCCTTCTGGAATGCCCATAATATGAATATTTGATCAAATTAATGGTGTCCCATAAATCCTGTAGGCTTTTTTCATTCTTTTTTATCCTTTTTTGCCTGCCTGTTATTTCAAAAGACTTGTCTTCAAGTTCAGAAATTATTTCTTCTGCTTATTCTTGTCTGTAAAGCCATTGATTGTATTTTTTCATTTCATCCATTGAACTGTTTAGCTCTTAGGGCTTCTGTTTGGTTATTTTTATGATATCTGTATCTTTAGTAAATTTCTCTTTCAAATCATGTTTTCCTGATTTCATTGACTTGTCTATCTGTATTACCTTACATCTCACTGAGTTTCCTTAAGATTATTCTTTTTTCTGCCATTTCATATGTTTATGATTGGGTTCTATTACTGGATAATTACTATTTCCCTTTGTAGGTGACATGTTTTCTTGCATTTTCACGGTTGCTGTGTTTCTAAATTGATTTCTATGCATCTGGTGAAAAAGTCACCTTTTCCAATTTTATGGAGTAGGTTTACTTGTATGAATTTATTTGTATGAATGGGTCTTGGATGTCTGTTCATTGGGGTATACTGGCCTTGGTTCTACATGGATGCAGTAAGTGTAGTCTCCATGTAGTTTATTCAGCTGTGATCCACACTAGTAACATTTGCAAGTTACTCAGTGGCCTAGGTTAAGGAAGTTTGTAGTGATGGTGGTGCAGCCTTGCCAGGGGTGGGCTCACTGGGCTGTTTCGCAGGGTAGGGGTGTGTGCAGGCACACAGTGGGTCAGAAAACTTGGAGTATGGCTTTATGCGGCTGGCCATGGTGCTGTCACTCTAGCCAGGAGCATGGGGATGCAGCTGCTCAACCAGGGCATGACTGCCAGATGTGCTTTGCAGGACAGTTTCTCAGGCCCAGGATGCAGGCACACAGCTGTTTGCCTGGCCTGGAAGAATGCACTCCAGGAGTGGCCTGAAGGGCTGTTTCCCATACCTGGTATGTGGGTACACAGCTGCTCATCTGGCCTGTGGCCAGTCTGCTGGGGGGAAACTCATGGGCCAAATATATAGCTGCATAGCTGCTAAGCTGGACTGAAAATATCTTTGCCAGGGCTGGCCAAGAAGGGGGTTTCTCAGGCCTGGGATACAGTCAAATGACTTCTCAGCTGTCCCGGATGTGTGTCTGCTGGGGGTAGTCCATAGAGCTATTCTAGCTCAGGATGTGGGCACACTGCTGCTCAGCTGGCCTGGGTGGTGCCTGCCAGGGGAAGCCCAGGGGACTGCTTCTATGAGCCAGGATGTGGACACGAGGCTGCTCGGCTGGCCTAAGGGCATGTCTTCTGGGAGTAGCCCATGGAGCTCTTTCTTAGGTCCAGGACATGGACATTCATGGCTGATTGGCTGGTCTGGAGGTGCATCTGCTGGGAATGGATACAGGACTATTTCTCAGGCTCATGCAAGGTCGCACAGCTGCTTAGTTGGCCTGGGAGTGTTTCTGTCGGGGGTGGCCTAAAGGGCTGTTCCTCAAGCTGGGACATAGGTATGTGGCTGCTTAGCTGGCCTGACAGTCTGCTGGCCAGAGTAAGCTCCCAGGGTTGTTTCTTGGCCCTGAGACTTGGGCATACACAGCTGCTTGTCTCTCAGGTCTGAGAGACAGGTGCAAGGCCCACTCGGTGGTGTGCCTGCTGGGGGCAGCCTGTGGGACTGTTTCTCAGGCCCTTATTAAAGGCAGAGGGCTCCTGGGCAGGCCAGGAGCATGTCTGTGGTGGATGGGGCCTGCAAGGCTGTTTCTCAGGTCCTGAGCATGGGCTCATAGTCACTCTGTTGACCTGGGGGTGTATCAGCTGCTCAGAGGCTTAGGGGCCTCTCCCACTTGGGAGAGGGCATGTAGTGGTTTGGCTGTCTTAAGAGTGAATTTACCCTGGATGGGACTGCAGATTATTCCTCTGTCTGGAAGTGTGGTGGTGGGGGTTGATTTCCCTGCATGCATTACTTGAGTTACAGCCAGTCCTGGGACCAACCTCCACACAGCTGGGATTGTGGCTTTAACCCACCCATGTGGGCTTGGTGTACTGAAGATAAAGCTCCAGTGCTGGAGAGGCACAGTGGCTACTGCCCCCAGAGGAGGGCACACTCAAGAGATGACTCTGGTCTCAAGATGGTGCTGTGCTGCTGCAGCTTAAGTCTCTGGGGGTGGGAAGTCTTCACCTTGTACTCCTAGTCCAGGACATGCAGCTGTGTCAATTCTTGGCAATACTCCAAACTGGCCTGAGGGCTTGCAAAGACTGTGAGATTCTCCTGTTGTAAAGACTTTGTGTTTGTGATGGCAGTGGGGTGACAGGGATCTTCTGCCTACCTTCACCCTGCAATGAGAAGTCTCTCCTGTCTCTGGGCCAATTCAATCCAGATGGGGCAGAAGGGGCTGCACAGGCTGAGTGCTTCCATGCTGTGGCAACTTCCAGTCACCACAGGTGTGTCTCCACTCCTTTGCTGCACTCCAGGACTATCCCTTTGATATTCTAATCAAATCTTAGATGTGTATTTCTTGCCTCAATTCTTTCTTGTAGGGGAGATGAGCACCAGGCATCTCTAGTCACCCATCTTGCTTGATTTAGCATAATTCGTAAGGGCCCCAGGATTTTCAGAATAGTCAATGATTGTTGGCTTCAACTTAAAAGTCACCAGCTTCATTAGCCCCTAACAAGAGAATTGGCCTGTGCTTTGAAGATGTCAAACCATGCGTTGACTTCTCCTCTCTAAATATGAAAGTCCTAGATGGCATCTTCTTCCAATAAAAGGCTATCTTGTCTACATTGAAAATGTGTTGTTTAGTTTGGCCACCTTCATCAATTATCTCAGCTAGATCTTCTGGATAACTTGCTGCTGCTTCTGCAACGGCACTTGCTGTTTACCTTGCACTTTTATGTGATGGAGATGGCTTCTTTCCTTAAACCTCATGAACCAAACTTTTAGCTTCAAGCTTTTCTTCTGCAGCTTCCTTACCTCTCCCAGGCTTCATTGAATCAAAGGGAGTGAGGGCCTTGTCCTGGATTAGGCTTTGGCTTAAGGGAATGCTGTGGCTGGTTTGATCCTTTATCCAGACCACTAAAACATTCTCCATATTAGCAATCAGACTGTTTTGCTTTCTCAACATTTGTATGTTCACTGGAGTAGCAGTCTTAATTTTCTTCAAGAAGTTTTTTGGCTTTTCTGTTTTGTTTTTGTTTTTGTTTTTGTTTTACATTCACAACTTGGCTGAACTGGTGCAAGAAGTCTAGCCTTCCTCACAATCATTTCTAGCTTTTGGTTTAAAGTGAGAGACATGTGACTCTTCCTTTCACTAGGACACTCAGAGACCATCATAGGCTTATTAAATGGCCTACTTTCAATATTGTTGTGTCTCAGGGAATAGGGAGGCCCAAGGAGAAGGAGAGAGATGGGGGAATGGCTAGTCAGTGGAGCAGTCAGAACAAACATGTCATTGATTAGGCTTGTCATCTTAATATGGACATGGTTCGTGTTGCCCCAAAACAATTACAATAGTAACATCAAAGATCACTGATCACAGATCACCATAACAGATATGATAATAAAAAGTTTGGAATATTGCAAGAATTATTAAAATGTGACAGAGACACAAAGTGAAAACACGCTGTTGGAAAAATAAAACCAGGAGACTTGCTCAATGTAGGGTTGCTACAAACCTTCAGTTTACAAAAAAGTAACATCTGAGGGGCAATAAAGTAAAGCACAATAAAACAAGATATACCTGCATATACACACACATGTATGTATATATAAACTATATATGTGTATATATACATATATATGCTAAAGGATATATACATATGTTTACATATATATATATACGCACATGCTCATATGTATATTAAAGGATATATATATGACTACTGATGTTATTAATTTGGGTCAGTGCTAAAGAATATATCTATATATAGATATATATACACACATTTAAATATGCACATATGTAGACATGTATATAGATATGTATATAGATATGTGTATATATACACACAAATACATATTTATATATCTATGTATACTACATATATAGCTAAAAGATATATCTGTGTATATATATACACACACACATATATACGTGTTATATGTCTGTGTGTGTGTGGATATATCCTTTAGCACTGACCCAAATTAATAACATCAGTAGTTTTCAATGACACCACCATTGAAAGGTGAGTTATATCAAAGATATATCAAATTAGCGAAAGACTACTGATGCCATTTTATCCGGGCCAGTGCTAACGATTAAAAATGTACACATCAGGTCAAGTGACTTCAGAGACATACTTTTCTGGTTGAAATTATGTACAATTGCTCTACATTTATAAACTGGCTGAACTCTGAAAATGTATATGTCAATGATTTGGAATCTACTATTAATATATCATTTTTTCCTAGAAGAAAACCTTATATTATGTAAAGGTGCTCTTGGGCCTTAACAAACAATCTAATGAATCACAATTTAAGTGCAGTTCTTTATTACTTCATTTGTGAGTGAATTTTACCAATCTTAATATATGCCTCTCTTCTTTCTCTCCGTATTCTGAAATCTCGCCCATCATTGATGACTCTACCACACATTACTCTTTTTAATTCAATGGGGTAATAGCTAAAGGATTAAAAATGAACATAGCAAGACTCCACATGTTATCCTAGACTTAATTTTCTGATACAAATTAGCAATAATTATTCTACAATTTATAATCTAGTTACCCTGAAAAATGGACATTAATCAGTTATTTATTTGAAACATGGTATTTAATTTTTCTCTGGAAATGAGGTTTTAGATGTTTGTAATGAAATTTTTCAGCCTGTGAAAAAAACTTAATGAATCAAGTTTATATACATTTCTTTACTCCTAAACCTAATCCCCAAGTTACTGTTTCTGGCAAAATTTACATAAAATCAACTTCAGTTTGTAAACACCCACCTTGCTTGCCCTTGTAATTTTCTGCCTTCTCACGTTCAAATACCACTAGTAACTCTTCACCAATCATGGATGTCTTTCCTGCCCCTCAGATAGGGTTAAGTAACTACAGACCCAAGGCAGGGCCTCCATACAATCTGAGGGTGGGTTTACCTTTGGGGCAGTAGCCTCATGTGGTAACAGACGAAGAGACCAGGGGTCTATTAGCTTTGTTCTTTTCTGTTGAGAGCTCCTCAGCTCCCTGCCCACTGTTACCTCCTCCTTGCACCAAATAGGACTGTTGCCTCTTTTGGCTCACTCTAGTAGAGCGTCATACAATACACACATTCTCATATTTTCCTAAGGTTTCAGGGTGCTGCTAAATAAGGGTGACCAATGGAATAGGAATAAGAAGCATTCCTCTTAAGACCTATTCCTCTTTTATCCAACTAGATCAAAGAAAGAAAGGTACCTGCAGATACTACAGTAATAAGACTTTAGAAAACAGTGTCTAAAACACTCTGTATTGTTATGGATGCTCCATACAATGAACTTCCCAAATCTGAATCTCTCTTTTCTACATGTATACTTTTGTGTGTGTCTATGTGTGTATTTACTTTTGTGTGTGTCTATGTGTGTATTTACTTTTGTGTGTGTCTATGTGTGTGTTTACATCTAGCTTTCTATTTACTTAAACCTCAAATTTTGTGGAATGTTCGTTCATGTGTTACTGTTGTCATTTCACTGAAGGCAGTGCTGATGGAGTAAAAAGGTACATAGACATATAATGAATTTCTCTTTTTTGACACTATTAGCAAATACATTTTTTGCACCAAAAGGAGTAGATTTTCCATAAATATGAAATACATACATATGTAATAAGTGAGGGTACGCAAATCCTACCACATAAGCCCAGTAAGTGAAGTCCAACAATTAACAGAGACTCATTTATCAATGGTCAGTTAATCAGAGATTAATTAAATTATATATAAATTAAACCTATGTACATATTAGAAATACATTTTAGCCAGGCGCTGTGGCTCATGACTGTAAACCCAGCAGTTTGAGAGGCTGAGGCAGGTGGATCACGAGGGCAGGAGTTCAAGACCAGCCTGGCCAATATAGTGAAACCCCGCCCCTACCAAAAATACAAAAAATTAGTCTGGCATGGTGGCACGTGACTGCAGTCCCAGCTACTCAGGAGGCTGAGGCAGGAAAATCGCTTGAACCCGGGAGATGGAGGTCACAGTGAACCGAGATTGCACCACTGCACTCCAGCTTGGGCAACAGCGAGACTTCATCTCAAATAATAATAATAATAGAAATACATTTTAATTTGCCCATGCCTCCAACATCCTATAAAATAAATTCTTTTAAAAATTTATTTATTGGCTTAAAAATCAATACTACATACAAAACTCACATGCTATTGCTTAATGAGTAACTACAGAATTCTCACCTAGATGTTTCCTTAATCAGCCACTGATTAAACACAATCCTTTTATTCCTTCTGTAAAATCTCATTCATTTTGCAAGTTTTCTTGAGCATTACACTATAATTAACTTGAATCAGGTTTTCCATATTACTTACAACTTTATGATTTATTTCCAGGAGAGGTTTTCACATGACTGGGAAAACCCTCCACCACCTCCTTCCTTTCACTGATCATGCTAGTCTCTCCTGCCCATGAGACACAGTGAAGTACCCGCACACCTGAGGAAAGTGGCATCCAGTGAGGTGATGGGTTTGGGTTGGGTCTAGGCACCAACCTCACATGTGGACAGAGCTCTCAAGAGTGTGGGACAAGTCCACGTTCCATTAGCTCTGTTCTTTTTTTCCCAGGGCTTCACTACTCCTTATTGGCTGCTATCTCCTCCATGTTGCAAATAGGATTCTCTCCTTTCTTGGAACACTATGGTAGGGTCTCAAACTCAGGAAACCTGAATCCCTTAAAAAATTGCCTACTAGAAATTGATGGTGACAAATACACTAACAGGAAGAAGCAGCTCTCCTACGAACTGACCTTATACAACTCCATCAAAAAAGGATGCAAAGTTATCTACAAACGCTACAATGAGAATTGGAAACCCTGTTAAAAAACACTCTGTATGGCCATGCAGGCTCCTGAGAGTAAATTCCACAAATGTCCATCTGTCTCCGTGTTTTGTGTTTCCATTTTGTGCATGGGTTTGTGTAAATGTGTTGACAAAAGTGTGTATGGATGAAGATGGATGGATATATTTGTGTATGTGCTTGGTGTGTGTATAGCTCTATGCACTCTTATGCATACGTGTGTCTTCATGTATTTATAACTCACCTTTTACTGATAGGTGACACCAGGGCTGCTCCTTTAAATTCACCTGTGTGTGGGCTAGAGGATGATAAAAGAATACAGTCAGATAGGAGACACGATTCTAAATTTACTTTTTTGGAAAATTAGCTTTTATTACTCTAGACAGAAACCAATTAATTTCTGTAAGAAATCTGAGTCCCATAAAAAAACTGCTTAGTAGGAACTGAGGGAGGCAAATACACTAACAGGAAGAGGCAACTCTCCTATGACCAGCTCCTTTTTATACAACTCCACCAAAGAAGGATGCAAAGTTACTAACAAATGCTACAATGAGACGAATTGGAAACTCTGTTAAAAAAAAAAAAAAAAATCTCTATGGCCATGCAGGCTCCTGAGAATAAATTCCACAAATGTCCATCAGTCTCCTTTCTCTTTGGTCTATGTTTCCATCATGTGCATGGATTAGTTTGTGTACGTGTGTTGAAGAGAAGTGTGGACGGACGGATGGATGGATATATTTGCTCATGTGCCTGTGTGTGTGTATAGTTCTACGCACACTTATGCTGATGGGTGACTTTATTTATTACTCACCTTTCTTTCGCAGGTGCCTCCTCGGTTGCTCCTTTAAATTCGTTTGTCTGTGGACTAGCGGATGATAAGAGAAAACAGTCAGAGAGGAGACTTAATTCTGAATTTATATTTTGGAAAAATTACTTTTCATTATTCTAGACAGAAACCAATTAATTTCTGACTATTCATGTGTATAGCACTATTGGAACCTGGAATGTCTTTTTCTCTTTATTAGAAATGAGGATTTATATGGCGACAACCAAAATCTTAGGCGGGGGAAAATAGTAATGCTTCCCTATTTAAGTAAACCTCTTTATTATGACCTCAGTCTCAATGTGTGACAGACTTTGTGGTGGCAGTTATTTCAAACTCAATTCCAATTTGTAGGTAGTCAGCCCTCTTATTCCATTCAATGTCCTGCTTAAAAGGCCCTCCATTAGCTCCTTATGCTCACCCAGCATGGTGGTTTCTCATGTCCCACAAAAAGGGTCAGGTAACTAGAGGTTTGACACAGGGGCACAATCCAATAGGATGGTGATTTGAGGTTTAGAGCACCAGCCTCCGTGGTGGCAGAGTTCTGGAGGGTGGAGAACACCTCCAAGGCTCTTAGCTCTGTTGCTTTCTGCTGAAGGCTTCACAGTTCCCCAAGTACTCCTGCCTCCTCCTCACTCCAAACAGGATTCTCTCTTCCCTCGGCCCACTCTGGTGTGTCTCATACACAGAAATCTGAGTTTCTAAGGTATTTGCCTGCTACTTACTAAGGGTGACAAGACAGTAACAGACAGAAGCCTCCCTCTGTAGTCTGTTTCTCTTTTTTCCAAAACGACTGGAAAAATGTGGAAGTTTACCTATACCTGCTACAGTGAGAAGATAAATAAACTGTGTCAGACACTCTGTATTGCTGTGGACACTCCTCAGACTAAATCCCACTAATCTCAATCTCTCTCTCTGTCTGTCTCTCTCTGTCATAGTTATGTTTGTGTGTGTGTTTGTGTGTACATCTTTTATAACTCACATGTCCTTGATGCCTCCATCAATGCTGACTGCCGTCAGCTCATTTGGATGGGGACTAAAGAACAAATATGGTCAGAAACAGACACGATGCCTAATTCTAAATGTTTTGTACCAAATAGCTACAGTTACTCTATGAGTTATTCTCTGGTTACACTTTAAATATTCACATGTACTTTTATCACTAAGTTGACCTGGTATGAGTTTTTTTTATTAGAAACGAGGTTTTATACGCCAACAGTGAATATCTTAGGCTGTGAACATGGCGATGCATGTAGGTGAGGTGGCTGTATCTTCACCTCAATGTGTAACAGCCTTTTTTGAGGGGATTTAATTCCAGTTCAACTTTAGTTTGTAAGTTCTCCTTCTTATAATCCCATCTGAATTTCTCATTCTCATTCACCTCCAATCACCTCCTCACTTTTCACCAATCCTAGTTGTCTTTCCTGCCCAAGAGTTAGGGCCAAGTAGCAGAAGACATCAAGCAAGGGCTGCATCCCGTGTGATGATGGATATGGGCTCAGGCAGTCAGCCTCACATAGTGGCAGAACTCTGGAGGGTGGGGAATACTTCCAGGGCTATTATGTCTGTTCTCTTCTTTGACTGGGAGTCTCTGCTCTTTGTCCACTGCTATCTCCTTCTGGCTCCAAGCAGGATTTGCTTCCCCCTTGATCCACACTACTAGTACAGTCTCATTCCCACAAAAACAAAAAGTGACAAACACTAACATAAAAAGCCTCCCTCTGTGAGTTCTTCCACATTTTCCTGCCTCCATCGAAATAACAAAAGAATATTCTTCACAAAGCTCATCCTGAGAAGACTCTAAAACTAGTCTCAAGGGAACTCCTCATTCACATGGATGCTCGTGAGAGTCAATAGCCCGAATCTCAATCTCTCTGCATGTTGTGGGTATGAATGCATGTATATGTGTGTCCATATATACATCTATACATGTGTAATTGTATTTCTGTTCATATGTTGCATTGGCCAGTCTACCAGAAGACACTCTTTCAATTCACACACACGGCAGTGCCGAAGAACTTAAAACATACATAGTAAGACAACATGTAACTCCCAGACTTAACGTTTTCAGTGAAAAACAGTTCCAATTAACTTTCAACATGTAAACTGCTTGAACCTTACAGAATTCAGGTGCATTTGGTTAGTTAGAATCTGCCATGCCATTTTCCCTACACATCATACTTTATATAATTGTAGCACACATTTTACATCTATCCAAGACTCAGTGACTCAAGATTTAACTGAATTCTCTACCACTGAAGCTGACCAATGTGTGACAGCCTTTTGAGGGTAAATTTCTTTTCAATTCAACTCCACTGTGCAGGTGGTCAGCCTGCTAATCCCATTAAGGGCTGACTTCCTGAATGCCTCCGTCACCTCCATCCTTCACCCATCATGCTAGTCTTTGCTGTCCATGAGACATAGGAAAGTAGCTGCATAGCTGCAGGCCTAAGAAAGCGCTGCATCCTGTGAGGTGGTGGGTTTGGGGTTGGGTCTGGGCACCAGCCTCACATGTGGACCGAGCTCTGGAGGGTGAGGGACAAGTCCACATTCCATTAGTTCTGTTCTTTTCAGCCCAAAGCTTCACTGCTCCTTGTTGGCCACTATCTCCTCTGTGTTGCAAATAGGATTCCCTCCTGCCTTGGGCCAATCTGGCAGGGTCTCAACTCAGGAAATCTGAGTCCCATAAAAAAACTGCTTACTAGAAACTAAGAGTGACAAATACACTAACAGGAAGAAGCAACTCTCCTATTACTTGCTCCTCTTTATACAATTTCATCAAAGAAGGATGCAAAGTTACAAAAAAATGCTACAATGAGACGAGTTGGAAACTCTGTTAAAAAAAAAAAAAAATCTATATGGCCATGCAGGCTCCTGAGAGTAAATTCCACAAATGTCCATCAGTTTCCTTTCTCCTTATTTTAGGTTTCCATCCTGTGCATGGATTAGTTTGTGTAGTTTGCGTGGTGAAGAGAAGCGTGGATGGATAGACGGATGAATGGATGGATTGATGGATATATTTGCTCATGTGCCGGTGTGTGTGTATAGTTCTATGCACACTTATGCTGATGGGTGACTTTATTTAACTGTCTATTACTCACCTTTCTTTCGCAGGTGCCTCCTTGGTTGCTCCTTTAAATTCATTTGTATCTCAAAATAATAAGAGCTATCTATGACAAACCCACAGCCAATATCATACTGAATGGGCAAAAACTGGAAGCATTCCCTTTGAAAACAGGCACAAGACAGGGATGCCCTCTCTCACCACTCCTATTCAACATAGTGTTGGAAGTTCTGGCCAGGGCAATTAGGCAGGAGAAGGAAATAAAGGGTATTCAATTAGGAAAAGAGGAAGTCAAATTGTCCCTGTTTGCAGACGACATGATTGTATATCTAGAAAACACCATTGTCTCAGCCCAAAATCTCCTTAAGCTGATAAGCAACTTCAGCAAAGTCTCAGGATACAAAATCAATGTACAAAAATCACAAGCATTCTTATACACCAACAACAGACAAACAGAGAGCCAAATCATGAGTGAACTCCCATTCACAATTGCTTCAAAGAGAATAAAATACCTAGGAATCCAACTTACAAGGGATGTGAAGGACCTCTTCAAGGAGAACTACAAACCACTGCTCAAGGAAATAAAAAAGGATACAAACAAATGGAAGAACATTCCATGCTCATGGGTAGGAAGAATCAATATCGTGAAAATGGCCATACTGCCCAAGGTAATTTACAGATTCAATGCCATCCCCATCAAGCTACCAATGACTTTCTTCACAGAATTGGAAAAAACTAAAGTTCATATGGAACCAAAAAAGAGCCCACATCGCCAAGTCAATCCTAAGCCAAAAGAACAAAGCTGGAGGCATCACACTACCTGACTTCAAACTATACTACGAGGCTACAGTAACCAAAACAGCATGGTACTGGTACCGAAACAGAGATATAGATCAATGGAACACAACAGAGCCCTCAGAAATAATGCCGCATATCTACAACTATCTGATCTTTGACAAACCTGAGAAAAACAAGAAATGGGGAAAGGATTCCCTATTTAATAAATGGTGCTGGGAAAGCTGGCTAGCCATATGCAGAAAGCTGAAACTGGATCCCTTCCTTACGCCTTATACAAAAATCAATTCAAGATGGATTAAAGACTTAAACGTTAGACCTAAAACCATAAAAACCCTAGAAGAAAACCTAGGCATTACCATTCAGGACATAGGCATGGGCAAGGACTTCATGTCTAAAACACCAAAAGCAATGGCAACAAAAGCCAAAATTGACAAATGGGATCTAATTAAACTAAAGAGCTTCTGCACAGCAAAAGAAACTACCATCAGAGTGAACAGGCAAACTACAAAATGGGAGAAAATTTTCGCAACCTACTCATCTGACAAAGGGCTAATATCCAGAATCTGCAATGAACTCAAACAAATTTACAAGAAAAAAACAAACAACCCCATCAAAAAGTGAGCAAAGGACATGAACAGACACTTCTCAAAAGAAGACATTTATGCAGCCAAAAGACACATGAAAAAATGCTCATCATCACTGGCCATCAGAGGACTGCAAATCAAAACCACAATGACATACCACCTCACACCAGTTAGAATGGCAATCATTAAAAAGTCAGGAAACAACAGGTGCTGGAGAGGATGTGGAGAAATAGGAACACTTTTACACTGTTGGTGGGACTGTAAACTAGTTCAACCATTGTGGAAGTCAGTGTGGCGATTCCTCAGGGATCTAGAACTAGAAATACCATTTGACCCAGCCATCCCATTACTGGGTATATACCCAAAGGACTATAAATCATGCTGCTATAAAGACACATGCACACGTATGTTTATTGCGGCACTATTCACAATAGCAAAGACTTGGAACCAACCCAAATGTCCAACAATGATAGACTGGATTAAGAAAATGTGGCACATATACACCATGGAATACTATGCAGCCATAAAAAATGATGAGTTCATGTCCTTTGTAGGGACATGGATGAAATTGGAAATCATCATTCTCAGTAAACTATCGCAAGAACAAAAAACCAAACACCGCATATTCTCACTCATAGGTGGGAATTGAACAATGAGAACACATGGACCCAGGAAGGGGAACATCACACTCTGGGGACTGTTGTGGGGTGGGGGGAGGGGGGAGGGATAGCATTGGGAGATATACCTAATGCTAGATGACAAGTTAGTGGGTGCAGCGCACCAGCACGTCACATGTATACATATGTAACTAACCTGCACATTGTGCACATGTACCCTAAAACTTAAAGTATAATAATAAAAAAAAAACCATACTGTTCTGCCATACATACAGATACTCATTAAAGATGAGGGAGAAGGGCATGGGGTGGGGGAGAATGTTCCAAAACCAAAGACCACAGGATAATAACCTCAGAGCAGACTCTCCAGTTATTTTTTCTTTTGTATGTAATGGAGGGGATTCTTACTATTTACTCTGATATAGAAGTTTACATCAAGTGTTCAGCTTCCTTTGTGGGTTAGAGAGAATAACCAGAGGGCTCAGTTATCCTCTCTGAATAACTATGTTTGTTTAGTGTTTTCTAGACAATATTAAATTTCACTAAAATAGACAAGGTTGATAGGACTTGGGGGGATAACTCATTGACTCAAGCTATCATTTTATAGGATTGTGAGAAAACAAAGTTGTACATTTAAAATACATTCATATTCTAGCTAGAAGAGAGGATTTTGAATATTCTTACATCAAAGACATGGTAAATGTTTAAGGCAATGGATATGCTAATTACCATGATTTGATCATTATGCAATGTAAAATGTACTGAAACATCACATTGTACCTCATAAATATGTACAATTTATTATGTGTCAACTAAAATTTTGAGTATAAGAAAAAATAAACTTCAATTGTAAGAAAACAACCCAACTTTTAAAAAATGGGCAAAATATGTGAACAGATACTTCACTAATAAAGATTTGCAACTGGCAAATAAGCAAATGAAAAAATGGTCATCATCACTAGCTATTAGAGAAATGCAGATTAAAACTATAATAAGAAACCACTAGATACCTATTAGAATGTCTAAAATTAGAAAGATGGCGTGTTGACAAAGATAGAAACTGAAACTCTTATACAATGCCAGGAATGTAAAGTGCTAGATCCACTTTGGAAAACAGTTTGACCGTTTCTTAAGAAGTTAATTAGGTCTTCCAGTTCCTACTCCAACACGTAGAGAACTTGGAAGTCATCACTCCCATCTTCACAACGGAAAAAAAGATAAACTGAAAATCAACAACTTTTCTTAGATCTGTCCGAGAATAGAGGTCACAGGGAAACCACCTCCTCAAAAACTAGAGAGATGGGTGACTATAGAAAATCACAGTTTACCTGAGAGCAGAAGCCACAGAGCCAGTAATTGGTAGGAACACTTCAATGGTAATCAATAAATTTACTGGTGGCTGAGTGTGGACTAGCTTGAGAGTTAAAAACTTGTTGGAGTCCCGTCTTGGGGGCCCCTTATACTTTCATGAATTTTACTTCCAGAAACCCCACCAGGTTCTCACGATGAAGGCTGAAGAAAATTTCCTCAGGCTCTTTACACAAGGAAAAGGGAAAAGCAACCATTTCAAAATATACCGTAATTGGAGGATAGAGAGAGTGGGTATAGCAACCATTTTGAAATGGTACCTAATTCAATTGCTTCACTTTTAACTAATATATAGGGCATCCTGTTAAACGTGCTTGTTAATTAAATCACTGGCATTTTATCCAGTCAGTACACTTATTAAATCAGAATTTCATCCAGTTAAAATCCAGTTTAAATCAGTGCTTTACCGACTTAAATCTAAAATGTCAAGTTTTAGGTCAGAAATTGTTAAATTCAGCTGAATACATTTTAAATGCCACTAAAATGCACATGTGGATGCCATCAGCAGCCTCCCTAAATCTAAAGACTATAAGAACTGTGAAGATTAAGATGAAAACATTAAAACACTTTAGTAAACTAAAATATTTTAAATCCAGTGTATACAAAACAATTTAAAATCTGTTTCATATACAAACAAATCTGCATCCAATCTAAGTGCCCAAACACCCCCTTAGAGATTTTGCACATACAGAGGTCAACAAAATGAGCACAGAAATACAGAAACTTTTCCTAAAATCCCCATTCAAGAAATACTTAACACCTCAGAATGGTCACTCATTTTGGCCACGGGAACCCTGATATATTTTGGTTCACTGGATATTCGAAACCTCAATCCACTGTTCAAATCCCGGCTTGCTTTCCACAACTTTCTGCCTTCAACAAGCACTGGGTGGGGCTTCCTAGTCCAAACAACAAATAGGGAAAGACATACACAAAGCTCCTTTGTGAATGTATAGATTTAAAATAAAATCCTCAACAGGGCTGTTTCAACATGGCTTAGTCTTTCATCAGAAAATGGGTCCTCTGATTTTTTTAATCTACCTTTCACATCATGCACTGGCCAGGTGGAAAATTACTTTATTTAGCTCTGCTGCTTCTGGTTTAGAAGCTAATTTTCACTCCTGGAGAAGAATTAACTTCTAAAGCCAATACCCTCTGCCTTTATGGCAAACATTGGATAGGCATTGTTTCTAAATAGTCCCAACTACTTAAAACTTAAGTCAGTTAATTCCACCCAAGAAAACCAAAAGGGATGCAAACTACTCCCAGCAAAGTAACCTTAAAAAACAAAAGCATACTTTACTTTCCTCCCTCTCTCTACTTCCTTAAAGAGCAAGGAAGGCCTGTAGGCTCAGAGAAGCCAAGGAAACATCTCCTCCTTTACACTCCGAAATAGAAATTCTCATACTCCTTGTTATCTTTAGTTTTGAATAAACTAGATCTTTAACATTAAGCTTTTCTAAATAAGACTGAAGATCAAGGATTAGGGTAAAGGAAAGAATGTCCTGAAGTCTCTTCTTTGTTGCTATCACAATGGAGGATCAACACATGGGCTGGTGACCAGCTTGGTGTGATATAATAGAACACTCCAGAGACCCGAGTTCTAGTCACAACCTTCAAGTTGTCACTGCCACATACCACATCTTTCTATTATCTATTTAACGCAGTTGGTTAAACTCTAGGATGGCCTTTACAGTTCCAATATTCTGTGGTTCTGGGGATAGATCTACACACTGAAAAGAATATTCAATTACTCTGCTAATCAGAATGTGAAGTGACTTAGGTTTCTATACATAGAAGCTTAAGTTTCATTTGCTTATTCAACAAGTATTTACTGAATGCTAGCGTCCCAGGCAAGGTTTTAACTGAATAACAGCACATACCCTAGAAAAACAGTTAACAAATGCTGACAACGCTGTTTTCCCTGGCCAAGAACAAAGACTCATTTATTTGAGGCCCTTCCTACTTGCAGATGCTAAAATACGCTTATTTTTTAAAAAATCAAATAGTGGCAATATGCAATAGTGGAGTTTTTTGGGTTTTTTTTAATGTCCTTATTTAGCAAAATCAAAGTTAGGTGAGAATTTGAAAAAAAAAAAACAAAAACTAAGTTAGTCCCTACGTCAGCTCTCAACATTATTACTGTATTTTAGAAACTTGACTAATATGTGAAACTGTAATTTTGGGGAACTCCACTTCTCTACTGACATCCTTTCCAAAAAGAGACACCAGCTCTACAGTCTCGGGATTAGAAATATGATGTGAGGCCGGGCATAGTGGCTCACACCTGTACTCCCAATGCTTTGGGAAGCCGAAGTGGGTGGATCACTTGAGGTCAGGAGTTGGAGACCAGCCTGACCAACATGGTGAAACCCCTTATCTGCTAAAAATACAAAAATTAGCTGGGCATGGTAATACACACCTGTAATCCCAGCTACTTGGGAATCACTTGAACCCAGGAGGTGGAGGTTGCAGTGAGCCAAGATCGCGCCACTGCATTCCAGCCTGGGCAACAGAGCGAGACTTTGACTCCCCCCTCTTGCCCAAAAAAAAAGAAATATGATGGAGTGTTATTTCCCACTCAGGGAAACAGCATAACTTAGTTACTGAAAATATTTATTAACAGACAGATGTTTTGGTTCCAATTCTCAATTATCTGGGTTAAAGAAGTTACCATCAGTCTCCACACAAGACCTTGTAGGATTATTTCTCTGCAGTGAAGGACAATGAAGGAGGTTCAGTGGGAAACGATCTTAGGACAGAGGAAGTTTCCACTTTGCCTGGGAGGGTGAACAGCCTGGGAGACCTGGAGATGAGGGCAGGCATTCTAGGCCAAGGGGTCTTCTTGTGTGGTCAGATGGGGAAGGAAACCCTCCTGGCAAAACAGCAGCAATTCTTTCTCCAGGAAAGCTTCTGAGACTGACTCTAATAGTCAATTGTGATCAACTGTCCTAGGCTCCCAGGGCCACAGCAATCCTTAGGCACCCCAAATGTGCCATCCCTGACTACCCAGCACACCCTAACCCCAAAGCATTGTGACAGCTCAAGGATGACTTCCTCTGAAAACCTCTGTCCAGATCTAAAACCATCCTGTTTGTTTGCTTGTAACTGTCTTTTTCTAAAAGTAACACCTCAGGATGGAGACTCTGTTGCCTTGTCCACTGCTGCCCCCAATGCCTGGAACAAGGTGCCTGACACAGGAGTAGGCACGCGACACATAGCTGGTGAATAAACGTCACGGAATTAGCACACGTGTAGAATCAGTACGCACATGTTTGGCCACAGTCACTAAACGTAACTGATCAGAAATTAAAATTAAGTTGCATGTTCATCAAAACTTCTACATGGCTATCAGTGACTGCCATCTAATTGCCATTCTGCAACTTCAAGAGTACAATTTCAAGAGCGTAATAAAAAAATCATATTTAATCACACCATAAAGTTCATCAGCACAAGCAAAACAAAAACTGCACTATTTGGATTTATACTCACTCTCCTTACGACCCTCCAAAACAAAAATGCTGGGCATCCTAGGGCTATCTCTGACAGCAAATGCCTTCAGCTCTTGACTTAGAAACTGCTAACATACTAGACAAAACACTTTCCTTAAACTCTAAGACAATGAATAATACTTTAAACCAGGTTTACATCGCTTAAAACCAATTCGCTCATCAGTAATCGTTAAAGTGGTTGTAACAATAAAGATGTTAATAACAGAATACAGCAAAATAGAAATTCTAATCTACTAACAGCAAATCACCATTCCAATTGAATGGTGTGTGTGCACAAACACAAGCCTTCCCAGAAGCCTCCAGCTCTCCACACTCCTGCACACAGAAGGCAGCAGTAAACCGATGGCACTGCTGTTAAAGTAAATTGTCTTTCTCAACAAAGAACTGGAGGGGAAAAGGAGGATATTATAATCCAAGACTATAATCTAAATGCTTCTAGCTTGCAAGAAAGTGAGCATTACGAACACGCTAAGCTTACTGACAAGTACTTCACAAAAATGGTTTCCAATGTTTAAAAACATTTTAAAATCTTTACTCAGGTAAACGACAGAACTTAACTCATATACCCCCTAACACCTAAGGCAAGTGGGCTATTGAGTATAGCCATATTTTGAAAGAAACTTCTATTGGGATTATTTCAGTAGATACTTTTAAAATTTACCAGAGCATAATCTTTGAAACCCAGTGGGAACCACACTGCTACAAAAGGCTGGAATAGAAGTGTGATGTTCTTTAGGTCACTAATTACACACTGATTTGTGACTAAAGCTACCATGAATTCTACCACTACCTATAGATCTTGAAATTAGCAAATAGGACACATTATACACTGCTTAATAAAAAGCACAGTAATCTGTGCTTAAGTACAACTAACTAGGTACAACAGCCACTTTGCTGACAATTACTGTAACTTGGGAATATTTTTCTTTACATCCTGATGTACTCAAACTGTTAACTTTTAGAAACAGCACAGCCTCTTTGTTTCTTCTGCTTAATAGGTTATCTTACACTGTTGATATGGAATATGTATCTACCATAATACAAAGCAATAAGGTATTCAAGTCCTCAAAAACACAGAAAAATTATATTTATACACAATTTGTCATACTGCTAACAAAGCTACTTTTTCCCAAGTTACTGAGGTGTCCAAATAAGGAGTTATTAAAAAATTCAACTTAAATTGCTATTCTCTGGCCAATGCATTTGTACCCTGAAAACTACAAAATTATCTCCAAGACCTGGCTAGAAGTTTACATTTTCTCTGAAAGTTTTTCCTCTGTCTTTTACACACAGTATTTTTTCTTAATCTGACAAGTGGAGAAAACTCTGCATAGCCATCTACTAACAATCAAAAAGCTACAGGTTTTTTTATTTTTTATTTTTAATGCTCTAAATTCTTCAACACTGTTTCAAGGAAATTACTAGGGGTCACACCCACGAGGCTAAATGGTCAACCCAACTTTCCTAATTTAGCTGTGGAAAGATGCTTCCAAGTTAAGCGAAAGAAAAAGATTGGAATATTCAAAGTTTATATTTAAGGTTACAACCTAAACTCTTCAACTTGGGAAGCTTGTAAAGGAAATAATTTCATTTTGCTGAAATTGTTCATAAATTACCAATTTTAAATAGGATTAGAGACCAAAGTACTATAAAAATATAATCATATAGCATATTTGAGTGTCATTAACTAGAAACTGCCTGAATTCATCCTAAATCAGTTAAGGTCAGTTAAGGGATCTTAGTAAGAACTTAAAGTATAACATACTAGTTTTAGTTTCAATATTAACAGATACTGTCATCTGCAAAGTGGTTTTTAAAAACATCCTGATCTGAAAAAAAGTTATAAGGAAAGTGAATTTTTAAAAACTTTAATTAAGCAAGACTAAGCATTGCTATCCATTTCTCCTATTACTACTACTTAACCAGTACAACCTTAAATATCTGTAAAAATTTGACAGGCCTAACTGCACCAAAAAAAAAAGATTTCAGCAAATTAATTAACTGTTAATAAACTGTTCTATCTTTACCTGCACTAACTCTCTGCAATGAAAACACTGAACGTGTGTATACACACATCTATCTATATATATATACACACACAAATAACTATACCCACTACTAGACCAGTACACCATACCACTTTTTCCAATGAGCGCTCTGAATTAAACACAATTCAAGTAACCTAGCTAAATACAAGCTTAGGCAATGCCTTTTAAGGCATAAGATCATTCTTCTGCAAGATTTAAATATTCCCCTCCCCATCCTATCTTTTGCTGACTACATACTAAAGTTGTATATCTGGCTCTTTCCAGTCACCTGTTTGCTTTCAAAATCAAGGGGGAAAGTCTCCTTTCAATTAATAATACAATCATTGTTCAGTCGATTTATAAACTGAAGAAAAACTCTATATTGATTACAAAAGAAAGAAACACTTCTTCAGTATAACTGAGATGCTTTATGTTATCCTTATTTGATAGAGGTAGAAGTAAAAGTAACTATTATTCCTAATGCTGATTCAAGAAATGTCTAGAGTCTACATTTCCAGTCCATTTAACTACATTTTAAATTCCAAAGGTTTCCAGACACACCAGAAAATAATGGAACACCAATACAGAAACACTACACGAGTCTGTTAAAAACCTAGCTTCTGAGTCTGGGGGAGCTTTTCTATAGGAAGTACAGTCATGTGGAGGTCAGAAACAAGTTTTGTAAAGCTTAATAAGAACAAAGGCTAAGTAAGGAATCCAACTAACTCTCTCATACAACTTCTTCAGCTGCCCTTTCAGGTTTAGTAATTTTACTTCTCAACTTTATCATAAAATTACCAAACTGTCCCCAAATTTCCAGTAACTCAATTATGCTGATACCCTGGGCAGGAAGTAATGGAGATGTTCAGAACAGTCAGTCAACAAATGTTCAAATGGAAAGCATTCCAACATTAAATATAAAAGGGTAATATGTGGCGGCAGCTGGCTAGCGGGGGCTTCCCCCCTATTTATCTGGAAGATAGATGTGTACAATAATTGAGCATGTCATCGTGAGCTGCAGATTTTAGGAAAGAATGGTCCCTGTTCTTCCACTTTCTTAAAGTCAGATTTCTATCTCTCTTCGTGGTCTAAATTCAAAAACCTTTGCCCCAGATACCACTGCAAATTTGTCTGTTATTACTGGTTGGGGAAAAATAACCCAGTTCACCTTACTCCAAAAACATGAGCATTTCAGAAAAGTTTTTATTCTGCCTCTAAAATGAGGCCATTAAGTGATATTCAATAATCAGGCTTCCTTCACCCGAATTCAAGAAATTTCCTGCCGTCTTTGTGTAATAAACTTTTTTCTTCCATGTGCATTTTAATTTTAACACCCCTCCCCGCCGCAGAATCTGGAAAAGAGGTGTGCGGATCAAGACCCCTCCACCCGCCATTGTCTCAAGTTTAATTTACATGCTGTAACCAAACCCTTCACTCTTTCGAATATTTAACAAGATTGAGATTCCTTTAATTCCATGTTGGTAGCTGTTCTGTAAATACCTTTCAGGTTTTTATTTTTTAATATCCCAGTAATCTAAAAACTATTCTGTTGTTAGATTTCAATTGAAGGAACTGGATTTAAAATCTTATTACGTTTATTTTATCAGTGGAATACTCAGTTTATGCAACTGTCTCATGTTTTTCATTCCTACTTTCTAATTCTAAGGCTTGAAAACAGCCATTGCTCAGTCCTTCAGCTTCACCTTCCCAATTCATTCATTAAACATTCTGCTCAGGGATTAAACTGAAATGGGAAATTAGGAAAGAACCATTTAAAACAAATCATACCCAGCAACCTCAAAATCTATAACATACAGGCCATATGGGCATACAGGAAATGGGACAATTTGAATTTTTTTTTTTAAGCAAATGGAAACAAAGCTTCATATAAAACATAAAAAGGGTCCAATCATTTACTTTCAAATAGAGTCAGCTAAAAGTAGCTCCTTTTTTAAAGTGGCATCTTTCAGGCAGTCAAGAGTCATTAAAACTACTCCAAAGTTCTTATCAACCAATATCATGTTTGTGACAACTGTGAGAAAAGAATGTAATTTTATAAAGTGGGAAAACAGCACATCTTTTGGGACCCCTGAGGCTCTAATCAGGCATCTCAGAATTAAGAGTGCTCCAGGGTTGGGAAATGGCTACCCTGCTGTGGCGAAAACATGCCATTTCATAATAAACGTTGTTAAGAGAGAAAAAAGTGATAAGCATGTACCTGCAATGAGGAGATAGAACGACTTAGTCATTGCCAGGCCATTATATTCCTTAATTATTTCATCAGTCTATAAGTGACTTGATGATTAAGTCTTATTTTCAGATTTCCTCCAAAACAAGTCCACTGGAAGGGGATTAGGGGCTCCTACTCCTCCCTGAACTTTTCCTGCCAAAAATGGAGGCTCACAAAGAAAATGCAAATCTACCCCCACCTTAAAAAAGTAAAGGCAGTCAAAGTCAAAACCTTCACTGCTCCTCCTTCCTCCCCTACTACGTGGAAAAAAATTTTGACCTGTTACCAAAATAGATTCCTCAGGGTAAAGGGGAGAAAAGTTTTCTACAAATTTTTTCTAAGTGGTGTATTAGTTCCTTTTTTTGAGTAAGAAGTGAAAGGGAATAGGAACCCAACACAACTGCTAAACTTCGATCTCACAAGTTATTAAAAAACAGCAAAGGTCAAACTGCAAAGCGTTAGAAAAATGTGAAGACAAAAGGATTAAAAGAGTGGGACACTAAAGAAAAAAGTGTGTGTCCTTCACCAATAAAAGTCGTATCTTGTCCTCTACTTCCTCCTTCTGTAGGCAAATAAAGACAATTCTAAAGGACTAGCTTTCCTCATCATGCCAAATAATTAAAATTCCAAACAGATTATTAATCCTATTCTAACAATTAAAATAAATGATAAATCTGCCTTGTAACTACTGACAACTGTATTTTAAATAACTTACGGCCTCTTGAATTTAAATATAACCGATTAAAAATGGCAGCAACATCAGGGTTAAGAAACAAAATGAAACACTATTAGTCTCCAGAATATTGAACAAAACAATATCTAAAATAAATATGACTTCTCAGAAGGAAAAAAGTTATCTACCATTAAGGACATACCTTAAAAGTTCTTAGCACACATTAAGTAAGCACAAACTAGTGGCTTGCCTGTTATATTTTCAGACAAAAAGCAATGAGGTTATTCCTCTGCACTTGTCACTGCAGACACATAAAGGCTTTTAGAAACTACATCTATTACTCATTGTCTAAGTATCATAAAACTTAGCATTTTAAGTCTTGTTTGATATCAATCAAGAAAGAACATCCACTTCAGGGGAAAGAAGTACAGTAAAATAAGAACATTGTAAATGTCCCTCTTGACATATACAAAAGAGAAGGTAAAAGGCCTCCTAAGACCCCTACCTAGTGGCCAGGCCTGGACGGCAGCTGTTGCTACCTCACCTTTTCTTTTGTTGAGCTTAATCTCATGTCAAGTCATTCAACCAACTCAAAAGCGATGAAGACATTATTGAATCAATCTGAACTAAATCAGACCTAGGCTTCTTAAAACATACAGCTTAATGCTTCCAAACGATCTAGAAAACTAAGAAACCTAGCTACGCTGTAGGACACACTTTCATATGCGTCCGTGTGAAGAGACCACCAAACAGGCTTTGTGTGAGCAACATGGCTGTTTATTTCACCTGGGTGCAGGCGGGCTGAGTCCGAAAAGAGTCAGCAAAGGGAGATGGGGTGGGGCCATTTTATAGGATTTGGGAAGGTAATGGAAAATTACAGTCAAAGGGGGTTGTTCTCTGGTGGGCAGGGGTGGATCTCACAAAGTACATTCTCAAGGGTGGGGAGAATTACAAACAACCTTCTTAAGGGTTGGGGTCACGGCACCAAATTTCATACACGTCCGTGTGAAGAGACCACCAAACAAGCTTTGTGTGAGCAATGGCCTGGCCTGGGCTCAGAGGCCTGACACACACAGTGGCCAATTATACAGGACCCCCAAACTGGCCAGTGGACCACTGCAACCGCCATTTACTTTCTCCGCTGCAAGCACCATAGGCTGATTCAGGAAGATAAACTGAGGCTCAAGGAATTTCGAAGTGGAACAATACACCAAAGCCTTAAACCTGAAATGACTATCCTTTTCTGGGGGGTGGGGGGGAAAGAAAAAGAAAAAAAAGTTTCTGGGGCTCTCAGGGTGGCCCAGATGCCAGGGTCCCAGAAGTGGCCTTTTCTAGCTCCTGTAACTAAACCTGGCGGAAAACTCCCCGCCTGCTCACCCCATCCGCCCAAGAATGCGCCTTCCCGTCTTCGGTGGCCCTACCCAGAATCCCAAAATGTGGATTCCAACCCAGGCCCTGAACGTCTTCTCAAATCCCCGGGACTTACGTTGCGGCGCGCGCCCCGCTGTCGGGTCTTGCCCCTCGGGCGGTACCGCCCAGGCAGCCCTAAATCCAGCCTCCCAGGCCCCCAGCAGCGCCCTCCGCCCCTCCACCATCCCGTCCGGCTCGCAGTCGGGGCCAAATCGAGAGACAAGAGGGCTGTGCCTGAAACTGAGCGGTTTCACCACTTGGCACCTCCTGGCAGAAACTTCCCTTTAAAAAAAGAAAAGAAAAAAAAAAAAAGCAGCAGCACTTTTGGGCTAGCATTTCAATCCTTCCTGCCCTTTAGAGTTCCCAGTTCTGCTTCCAGCTGCCTTTGGGTGTTCCACTACAATTGAGTTGTAAAGATATTCTTTAAGTGTTTATAGAACATTAAGACTTAAGAAAAATCTTTAAAATTAGAGGAGGGAAAAAAAAGCCACCTTATCGCACACATCCAGGAAACGCAGCCCCGTGCATCCCTGCTCAGGGATAAGCAGGCGCCCCAGGACTCCCGGGGACAGATTTTTGGGCACCCGAGGGAGTCACCCGGCGCACCTCGGGGTCCGCGGAGAGGCCCAGCCCCTCCCGCGGTCCCTTAGACGCGCCCTCCGCCTGGCCCGTGTGGACCGTCCCGGCCATTGTTTACGGGGGAAGCCTGTCCCGACGCATTGTTTTGGCCATTTCCAACTTCCCCCGGCCCTTCCCGGGGTATCGCGGGGGACCCTACGCCAACGTCCCCCCTCCGCCCGCGCCCCAAGGGCCGACTGGGCAAATTGGGAGACCCGCCCCGCGGGGCGACCCAACTTTTCGGAACAGCCCCCCACCGCCCACCCCCGCAGACCCCCGGACCCCCGCTCCCGGCGGAGATTCAGGGAACCCCGCACCCCAAGCCCTTCTGAATCGTGCGGCGTGAGTGTGACGGCCAAGAGCGGATGCAGCCCGGGATCGCCCGCACCTTCCCGCCAGCGGAAGCGCAGGAGCCGGCTGGGGAGGGGGCGCCCTAGAAAGAGCAGCTAGAAAGCTGAGACGGGGAACTGAGGTCATCCTGGGGGGGGACAAGACAACGAGAGCCGGGCGCCTCGGGGGCGGCGCGGGAGCCTCCGCAGGACCAGGCGGGCGCCCCGGCTGGCGCGGGCGGGGGGCGCCCCCCTTTACCTGTGGCTCCGGCCCCTCGGCCATTTCCTCGCGCGGCGGCTGCCGGGACTGAGCTGACTCCACTCGGGCCGGCCGGGTTTGAAAGAGGAGGAGCGGGCGCGGAGGGGAGGGGGCGGGGAGGGCGGAGGGAGGGAGGCCTCGCGCAGTTTTCTCGGCCTTTTGTGCGGACACCTCCCGGATTCCGCGCCCGCACCCGGCCCCCCAAAAGACACGGGGAGCCGCAAGCGAGGGGTGCAGCCATCTGCCGAGGCGCCTAGTGCCTTCGCGCCTCCAAGACCCCCAACAAAAAAGGAGCGTCCCGCACCCCCACCCCCGCCCGGAGGATTTAGGGGCCGGGCTCACCTCGGGCGCGGGGCTAAGTGCAGGCGCGGGGGGGGTCCCTAGAGCCGCCAGGGCGCGGCGCGTCCGGCGCTGGGGGACTGTTGGGTCAGAAAGTGTTCAGGGAGCAGCTGCTGCGCCCTCCCTCGGCCCGCCGCTCGGAGACGCCCCGCCCCGCCCCACCCCGCCCCCGCGCCCACGTGACTAGCATAGGCCCGCCCCCGCTCCGCCCCCCGCCACAGACTCCGCCTCCGGGACGCGAGCGAGCGGCGAGCGCGCGCACTCCCAGTTATCGCTCGGCGACTCCCGCGCACGCACGCGCCGTGCCACCCTCCCCGCGCCCCCCGCCCCATACCCCTACTCCCGCCATCCGATTTAACGTGGCGGGCGAGCGCCGCGGCGGTAGCCGTGACAGGTACCCGGCGGGGGGGGCGGGGGGGGCCGCGAGGGTGTGCGCAGGCGCAGACCCGGGTCCCGTCCCCGCCGCCCCCTCCTCTGCAAGGTGTGCCCGGGCGAGGGGAGGGGCCCGCGGCCCGAACTCCTGGGTCACCCCGAATTACAAACAAAACCTTAACGCCGTTGCTCGCGGGTTAGAAGGCAGCTGTGCGCGAAAAACACCTCAGATTTTCTTCAAGCGTGAGGAAGGTCGAGAAGATAAAGTTTTTAAATGAGTATCTTCAGAAAGCTATTTAATTGTTCTGATTTTTTTTTTTCTGAAAGGACTGGGCTTGCGCTATTCTAACTTGAGATTTCTAAACTTAGACTAGGTTCCAAGAATCTACTTGGTTTTGATAGAAATCCATTTGGAGGAAACCGGGGACAAAAAAAAACAAAAAACCGCTACCCTTTCCCCTCCTCCCTACGCACAACTCATTTAAATCGTTTCCCAACTGTTTTTTTTTTCTTACTGAAAAAAAGGACAAAAAAAATCCTGATTCCTAAGGCCTGTGATATTTCCCCATTTTAAGTAAGCCTCGAGGAACCACAGACATAACAAACATATCCACAATTTTTCTACCCCAAAATGCAAACTAATGCAAATGTGAAATGGATCTATGCAAGTCGCTACCAACAAAATAGCCAAATATTTGTTTTTTTACTGGCCTTCGGCATATCCAAAATGAAAAAACTTTAAAACACATCAAGAAAAGCATTTAAAATATCTATTTCCTAAATCAAAAGAAAGAACGCACTACAGAAACGATCCGGAGCTGGTGAGCAATGCAATCTTAATAAATAGGAAAAGGAATTTGAGAAGACAGCTCAGCAAAGGGGAAGAATTTGCCAAGTGTCATGTTTTGCTGTCATTTTATATATAACTACTAACCCCCCATATGGTCTGGTTAGTCTTTTTTAAAAAGGAAGCCAATCAATTACTCACAATTAATTAGCAGTGCCGGTAGATTCTTAGGCCAGCACTAAAAAACTAAATTGGGTGAATTTTTTTTCACTCAAGTCCACTGATATTGATCACTTTTAGTATTAGGAGTCCTTTTCTGACAAAAGATGAATACCTATCTTTAAAATATATTTTTTAATCTTATTGTCACATTCTAAAACACAGTCCAAAAACACTTCATAAACAAGAAACTTCATTTAACTTTATGAAAACAAATGACTATGAGCCTTGCTACACAACAAAGAAACTATGAACAAGTGCAACCAGGTTGAGCCTTTAAGTGTAGCCTCATTCTACATGTTAATGGATAACCTTTGAACTCTGAGAACTTGAATGCTGTAAACACAATAGCACTGACAGTTAAAAATTCCAGTGTCAAAATCGAGCAAAAAGAAAAGTCCAAACTTTTCAGGGGGAATAGGGAAACAATCAAATATTTTGACAAATAATCGTTTCAGTAAGAACAAGGAGATTCCTGGCTCTCAGACCTTGTTGCTACTGAATTATTTTCTGAGCAAAAACGGTTGTGCTTGTTTTCCCCCTGTGCCCTCCAAAGCTACCACTTTGTTCACATTATAGCATCATGATTTGTTACTGTTTCGCTGCCTCCCTCAAAAAAAAAAAAGTGCCTTATTATGTTGTAGCTTTTAAAATTGAAAGATGATTATATTCACTGATCTATCCGCTAAGAGTTTTATTTATATGTGATCCTCCTTATGTTTGAGCAAAGAATTACAAAGAACCTTGTCCTGGAGTCGTGCCAACGAAACTGGGAAATCGTTGCAAAATTCTGCCAGTGACTGACTGCTGGGTTGCAAATACATACTGTGTTTTCAGAAGAACATAGAGGGATCTGAATTCGTCCGGGAGGGCTTCCCTGAGACACATTCTTCCCTTAGAATGTGAGACTCATACCTCCCATTTATTTGGAAAGCATGTATAGTTCAAACAATTAAAATATGGAAACTCCAAAAGTAACAGGAGAACACTGCAAACATTTGGTTTTGTAATAAAAGCTAGAAACTCATAACTGCATGAAGTGAAAATTGAAAATCGAACGTTGGTCTTCCTATGCTTAGCTCCACCCACAAGAAATCCAGCTTTGCCATCACTCCCTTCCTAGGCCATCTCTAAAGGAGTCAGGTGCTACTAGATGCCAGCAAAAAAAACAAAGAATGGAACCAAAAGAGAAGCTCTGCACATGGTACTTGGAGAAGGGGCAGAAAAGCCCCACTTCACCTTGGTTCAATGCAGCAAACATCAGCTACACCTCATTTTTCACAATTGTCCAAACAGCTCAGGCAGAGCTGACGAGGAGGGTCAGCACCTTCTGCCACCTCCTGCTGCTGAGCTGTGCACCTGTCCCGCAGTTAACTTTCTCTGAGCTGAGTCAACCTGAGCCCACCTGTGGGGAGCCCAAAGCTTGGTGGAGACAGATGCCAGCTGGGGCCCTTTGTTGGGAGAAGCTAAAGGACCTGGTGACTGCATGTGGGGGCAAGAAAAGGAAGACTCCAAGGGTTTGCTCAGGACTCTGGCCCAGGAAATGGGGGACTGTGGGACTGGAAGGGGCCTGGTGGGGAGCAGCAGGGGGTGCTGAGCTTGTTTGGCACCCTCTGAGCTGGAGAAGTGTGTGGAGGCTGGGAGAGGGGCCCAGAGGGACTGGAGGTATAGACAAGACATGCTCCCAGCTTCCCTGGGTCGCAGGCCAGGCACTATTTGATAGATGAGATCATCGAGTTCCAGGGAGGAAGGAGAGCGGGCCATGTCACCAAGGTCACCCAGTGATGAGCATCCCTGCCGACAGGAGTCCAGCTATCCCAGTCCCTCCACAGTCCCTGGGACTTTGCTGCTGAGGGGCTCGGGCTCTCCGGGCGGGAGTCCCAAAGACAGGAACAGGGCAGACTTAGAGCCCACATGGAGGCTGATTCTTTGGGCGGCCTTGGGCAAGTCTCTTCACCTTTCTGAGGCTCAGTTGCCGCACCTGTGGGTGTGAAATGCCTCCTTCCATAAGGGTTGGAAGGATTAAACTAGAGTTTATTTTTATTTTTTATTTATTTATTTATTTTAATGTCATAGCGCTGGACCCAGCAGCAGGTATTTAGTAAGCCCGGCGGGTGGTGAGCATGTCCTCCCCTTCCCCTTCTGGCTGAAGCAGTTAGGAAGGCTGCCTGGAGGAGGCAGGCCTTGAAGGTAAGGGCTGATTCAGAGAGACTCAGAATGAGCACAGGAGAGACTGCCGGGCTCCCCCTGGCCCCGGGGCCCCTGAACACAGGCCAAGGGCTGTGGACCTTCTGTTGTCACAGCTGCCCATCCAGGCCCCACAGCACTGGAACCGTAGCCAGAGAGAGCTCTGCCTGAGAATGGGACAAGAAAACAAGCCCAGCCGGGCGCGGTGGCTCGAGCCTGTAATCCCAGCACTTTGGGAGGCCGAGGTGGGCAGATCACGAGGTCAAGAGATCAAGACCATCCTGGCCAACATGGTGAAACCACATCTCTACTAAAAATACAAAAATTAGCTGGGTGTGGTGGTGCTTGCCTATAGTCCCAGCTACTCGGGAAGCTGAGGCAGGAGAATCGCTTGAACCTGGGAGGCGGAGGTTGCAGTGAGCTGAGATCATGCCACTGCACTCCAGCCTGGGTGAAAAAAAGAAAAGAAAAGAAGGAAGGAAGGAAAGAAAGAGAGAAGAAAGAAAAGAAGGAAGGAAGGAAGGAAGAAAGGAAGGAAAGAAAAAAAAAGAAAAGAAAAGAAAAAAGAAAAGAGAGAGAAGCCCTGATTGCCACCAGCAGCTCATACCGATTGGCCCCAAGCCTGGCCAGCGAATGTTCAAAAAGCCTCCCTGACCCCATTGCATCTGCTCTAGGCAAAGTCTTGTTTTCTGGAAGGAAAGCAGCATTTATTAAAGACACTGCTCTGCTCTCACGCTTGCATGAGCCTCTTGCCCATGACGTTGCTGCCCTGAGATGCAAGTACCATTACTACCCTCAGGGAAGGAGAGGTCTTGCCGAACCCAGCATCTTGACTGCAGAGCTGGGGCTCTAACCACTGGGCTGCTGCCTTTTGTAAATGAATGGCTCCCCATCTCCTGCGAGCTCCTGAGGGCAGAGCGGAGTCTCCCCTGTGCCTGGCATGGGCCCTGCATTCAGCAGCCTCCTCAGGAATTTTGAGTAAGTGAATAAAGACATGTAAGGGTGACAGTTCAGTTTCAGAGTGACCCAGAGGCATCGCCCTAAGATGCAAAGATGCAGTGGATCTGAACAGTTGGAGGCGGAATCACCTGGGAATGTATAGAGTAGCTTCCAGAAGGACACACAAGGGACCAGGCACGGTGGCTCATACCTGTAATCCCAGCATTTTGGGAGGCCAAGGCGGGCAGATCACCTGAGGTCAGGAGTTGGAGACCATCCTGGCCAACATGGCGAAAACCGTCTCTACTAAAAATACAAAAAATAGCCGGGCATGGTGGTGCACGCCTGTTAGCCCATTTACTCAGGAGGCTGAGGCAGGAGAATTGTTTGAACCTGGGAGGCGGAGGCTGCAGAGAGCCAAGATCACGCCACTGCACTCCAGCCTGAGCAACAGAGTGAGACTCTGTCTCAAAAAAAAAAAAAAAAAAAGGACACACAAGGAATTGGCACCGGGGGTTGTGTCTGGGAATGGGGGTGGGAGGGAGACATACTTTTCTGCTTGAATGTCTGTGTTACATATTATAATGTGGTATCATTATAATGCGTCACCACGCGCAGGTCCATGAATGAATGCGGAAGTCAGTCGTCACCCGGGAGCTCCCTGGGCATGTGGACTCCTGGGCTGCAGCCCCAAAGGGAGGAAGCAGCAGGGCTATGGGTGGCAGGGGCCAGGATGAGCTCCTGGGTGATTCTGTCACAGGTGGCCCTGGACCACACTTAGGAACAAAATCGCCAGCTGGGTCCTCTTCCCACCGGCCACCCAGCCAGGCTCATTTGCATGATCTTTTGCATATATTTGCATGACTTCCCTGGTTCCAAATAAAGCCTGTTAGTCCTTATCCTCACTTCTGCTGGGTGCTGAGCAAAGCTTCTTCCCTCCCGCCCTCCCCTAGCACTGCCCCCGCCCAGACCTGGCTGGCCTGGACTAACCCCGTCCTTCTCACCTCCTAGCCCCAGTCAAATATGTCATCCTTTGACCCCATCTCCACTTTCTCCTAGTCCCCCAAGGCCTGGCACACACACATCACCTCCCCCACCCCAGAGCCGAAAGCCTGTTCTCAGTCCCACACTCGTTTTTTTTTTTTGTTTGTTTTGCTTTGTTTTTGAGACAGGGTCTCACTCTGTTGTGCAGGTTACAGTGTAGTGGTGTGATCTCAGTTCACTGTAACCTCTGCCTCCAGGGCTCAAGCGATCGTCCCACCTCAGCCTCCCAAATAGCTGGGACGACAGGCCCTCGCCACCACACCTGGCTAATTTTTGTATTTTTTGTAGAAGCAAGGTTTCGCTATGTTGCTGAGGCTGGTCTCAAACTCCTGGACTCAAGTGATCTGCCCGCCTTGGCCTCCCAAAGTGCTGGATTACAGGAGTGAGATACCATGCCCAGCCCAGTCTCATAATCTTTAGCCCCTCTTCTGAACTCCCAAAACACTGGTCCCCTCTTTTTTTTTTTTTTTTTTGAGATGGAGTTTCATTCTTGTTGCCTAGGCTAGAGTGCAGTAGTGCAGTCTCGGCTCACTGCAACCTCCACCTCCCGGGTTCAAAGGATCCTCCTGCCTCAGCCTCCGGAGTATCTGGGATTACAGGCACGTGCCACCATGCCTGGCTAATTCGTATTTTTAGTAGTGACGGGGTTTCGCCACGTTGACCAGGCTGGTCTTGAACTCCTGAACTCAGGTGATCCGCCTGCCTTGGCCTCCCAAAGTGTTGGGATTACAGGCGTGAGCCACTGCATCCGGCCCGGTCCCCCTCTTTTCAGTGCTTCTGTGTCCTCCTAAACATCCACTGAGCACCCAGGGCTAAGGCAGGCCCCTTGCCCATCTCATTCTCCCTAATCCTCCAGGGACTCTGTGAGACAGGACTCCACTGGGCCCATTTTACAGATGAAGAAACTGAGCCTCAGGAAGGTCCCATCACTTGCCAGAAAGTGGCGGCTCTTTCCATCCCACCAGCCTGCCTCTGCAAATGGCCCCGTGGCATTTTCGCTCATCTCAAGTGAATGTTATTTGGGTTTTGTTTTGCTTCACTTGCTGTAATTAGGTCTTTGAAATTATGCAAGTCATATGCACTTACTGTAAAAACATTAAAACCGCTGGGTGCGGTGGCTCACGCCTGTAATCCCAGCACTCTGGGAGGCCGAGGCGGGTGGATCACGAGGTCAGGAGATCAAGACCATCCTGGCTAACACGGTGAAATCCCGTCTCTACTAAAAAAATACAAAAAATTATCCGGGCGTGGCGGTGGGTGCCTGTAGTCCCAGCTACACGGGAGGCTGAGGCAGGAGAATGGTGTGAACCCAGGAGGCGGAGCTTGCAGTGAGCCGAGATCCCGCCACTGCACTCCAGCCTGCGTGACAGAGCTAGATTCTGTCTATAAAAAAACAAAAACAAAAACAAAAAAAACACAACACTAAAACCATCCAGGAATATTTGGGTAAAATATAAGTCTCCTCCTTGAATGCACCTGTCCCCCAATAACACTTTTTTTTTTTTTTTTTTGAGACAGAGTCTTGTTCTGTGGCCCAGGCTGGAGTGCAATGGCACGATCTCGGTTCTCTGCAAACTCCGCCTCCTGGGTTCAAGCGATTCTCCTCTCTCAGCCTCCTGAGTAGCTGAGATTACAGGCACCCGCCACCACCCCTGGCTAATTTTTGTATTTTTAGTAGAGATGGGGTTTCACCATGTTGGTCAGGCTGGTCTCAAACTCCTGATCTCGTGATCCGTCCACCTTGGCCTTCCTAAGTGCTGGGATGACAGGCGTGAGCCACCGCGTCCGGCCTCCCAATAACACTTTCTAGGAAGAGCCACAGTGAACAGTCTGGGGTCTCCTTCCAGAACTATTGACCTACAGACATGATATATTCAAATATATAGACATAATTTTTATTGTAAGATATACATGCAAAAGACATACAATTTTAAAAAAATAGAGATACCATGTACTCATCACCCATAAAAACTGCTAACACCTGAATTATACCCCTGTATGTCTCTATGCCTGCACCTCCTCTTTTCTCTCTATTTATTTCTGAGACAGAATTTCATTCTTGTTGCCCAGACTGGAGTGCAATGGCGTGATCTCAGCTCACTGCAACCTCCGCCTCCCGGGTTCAAGCAATTCTCCTGCCTCAGCCTCCCAAGTAGCTGGGAATACAGGTGCCCGCCACCACGCCTGGCTAATTTTTTGTATTTTTAGT